>NC_000018.10:16770180-16876468 GCF_000001405.40 Homo sapiens | reverse complement strand
TGTGTCTAGTTGTTATGGGAAAATATTTCCTTTTTCAACATAGGCCCTGAAAGCGCTCCAAATGTCCACTTCCAGATACTACAAAAGGAGTGATTCCAACCTGCTCTATGATAGGGAATGTTCAACTCTCTGTCCTGAATACAAACATCACAAAGATGTTTCTCAGAACGCTGCAGTCTGCAATTTGTATGAATTCCCGCTTCCAACGAAATCCTCAAAACTAGCCAAATATCCACTTGCAGATTCCACAAAAAGAGCATTTCAAAACTGCTCTATCAAAAGAAAGGTTCAACTTTGTTAGTTGAGTAGATACAGCATAAACAAGTTTCTGAGAATGCTTCTGTCCAGTTTTTATGGGAAGATATTTCCTTTTTCACCTTAGCCCTGAAAGCGCTCCAAAAGTCCAGTTCCAGATACTACAAAAGGAGTGTTTCAGGACTGCTCTATGAAAGGGAGTGTTCAACTTTTGACTTGAATGCAAACATCAGAAAGCAGTTTCTCAGAACGCTGCTGTGTGCTTTTTATATGTATTCCCGCCTCCAGCGAAGTCCCCAAAGCTAGCCAAATATCCACTTGCAGATTCCAGAAAAAGAGTGTTTCAAAACTGCTCCTTCAAAACGGTGGTTCAATTCTCTTAGTTGAGTACACACATCTCAAATAAGTTTCTGAGAATGCTTCTGTCTAGTTGTTATGGGAAGATATTTCCTTTTCCAACATAGGCCTGAAAGCGCTCCAAATGTCCTCTTCCAGATACTACAAAAGGAGTGATTCAAACCTGCTCTATGATAGGGAATGTTCAACTCTGTGTCCTGAATACAAACATCACAAAGATGTTTCTCAGAACGCTGCAGTCTGCAATTTGTATGAATTCCCGCTTCCAACGGAAATCCTCAAAACTAGCCAAATATCCACTTGCAGATTCCACAAAAAGAGCGTTTCAAAACTTCTCTATGAAAAGGAAGGTTCTACTCCTTTAGTTGAGGACACACATCACGAGTAAGTTTCTGAGAATGCTTCTGTCTAGTTTTTATGGGAAGATATTTCCTTTTTCACCTTAGGCCGGAAAGTGCTCCAAATGTCCACTTACACAGACTACAAAAAGAGTGTTTCAAACCTGCTCTGTGAAAGGGAATGTTCAATTCTGTGACTTGAATGCAATCATCACAAAGAACTTTCTGAGAATGCTGCTGACTGCTTTTTATATGTAATCCCGTTTCCAACGAAATCCTCAAATCTAGCCAAATAGCCACTTGCAGATTCCACAAAAAGAGTGTTTCAAAACTGTTCTGTCTAAAGAAATGTTCAACTGTGTTAGTTGAGGACACACATCAGAAACTAGTTTCTGAGAATGCTTCTGTCTAGTTGTTATGGGAAGATATTTCCTTTTCCAACGTAGGCCTGAAAGCGCTCCAAATGTCCACTTCCAGATACTACAAAAAGAGTGTTTCAAACCTGCTCTACCAAAGGGAATGTTCTACTCTGTGACTTGAATGCAAACATCCCAAAGAAGTTTCTGAGAATGCTTCTGTCTAGATTTTCTCTGAAGACAATCCCGTTTCCAACGAAATCCTCAAGGCTAGGCAAATATACTCTTGCAGATTCCAGAAAAAGAGTGTTTCAAAACTGCTCCTTCAAAACGGTGGTTCAATTCTCTTAGTTGAGTACACACATCTCAAATAAGTTTCTGAGAATGCTTCTGCCTAGTTGTTACGGGAAGATATTTCCCTTTCCAACATGGGCCTGAAAGCGCTCCAAATGTCCACTTCCAGATACTACAAAAAGAGTGTTTCAAACCTGCTCTACCAAAGGGAATGTTCTACTCTGTGACTTGAATGCAAACATCCCAAAGAAGTTTCTGAGAATGCTTCTGTCTAGATTTTACCTGAAGACAATCCCGTTTCCCACGAAATCCTCAAAGCTATGCAAATATCCTCTTGCAGATTCTACAAAAAGAGTGTTTCAAAACTGCTCTATGAAAAGAAAGGTTCAACTCTGTCAGTAGAGGGCACACATCACAAACAAGTTTCTGAGAATGCTTCTGCATAGTTGTTACGGGAAGATATTTCCCTTTCCAAAATAGGCCTGAAAGCGCTCCAAATGTCCACTTCCAGATACTACAAAAGGAGTGATTCCAACCTGCTCTATGATAGGGAATGTTCAACTCTGTGTCCTGAATACAAACATCACAAAGATGTTTCTCAGAACGCTGCAGTCTGCAATTTGTATGAATTCCCGCTTCCAACGAAATCCTCAAAACTAGCCAAATATCCACTTGCAGATTCCACAAAAAGACCATTTCAAAACTGCTCTATCAAAAGAAAGGTTCAACTTTGTTAGTTGAGTAGATACAGCATAAACAAGTTTCTGAGAATGCTTCTGTCCAGTTTTTATGGGAAGATATTTCCTTTTTCACCTTAGCCCTAAAATCGCTCCAAAAGTCCAGTTCCAGATACTACAAAAGGGGTGTTTCAAGACTGCTCTATGAAAGGGAGTGTTCAACTTTTGACTTGAATGCAAACATCAGAAAGCAGTTTCTCAGAACGCTGCTTTGTGCTTTTTATATGTATTCCCGCTTCCAGCGAAATCCCCAAAGCTAGCCAAATATCCACTTGCAGATTCCAGAAAAAGAGTGTTTCAAAACTGCTCCTTCAAAACGGTGGTTCAATTCTCTTAGTTGAGTAGACACATCTCAAATAAGTTTCTGAGAATGCTTCTGTCTAGTTGTTATGGGAAGATATTTCCTTTTCCAACATAGGCCTGAAAGCGCTCCAAATGTCCACTTCCAGATACTACAAAAGGAGTGATTCAAACCTGCTCTATGATAGGGAATGTTCAACTCTGTGTCCTGAATACAAACATCACAAAGATGTTTCTCAGAACGCTGCAGTCTGCAATTTGTATGAATTCCCGCTTCCAACGAAATCCTCAAAACTAGCCAAATATCCACTTGCAGATTCCACAAAAAGAGCGTTTCAAAACTTCTCTATGAAAAGAAAGGTTCTACTACTTTAGTTGAGGACACACATCACGAGTAAGTTTCTGAGAATGCTTCTGTCTAGTTTTTATGGGAAGATATTTCCTTTTTCACCTTAGGCCGGTAAGTGCTCCAAATGTCCACTTACACACACTACAAAAAGAGTGTTTCAAACCTGCTCTGTGAAAGGGAATGTTCAATTCTGTGACTTGAATGCAATCATCACAAAGAACTTTCTGAGAATGCTGCTGTCTGCTTTTTATATGTAATCCCGTTTCCAACGAAATCCTCAAATCTAGCCAAATATCCTACTTGCAGATTCCACAAAAAGAGTGTTTCAAAACTGTTCTGTCTAAAGAAAAGTTCAACTGTGTTAGTTGAAGACACACATCAGAAACTAGTTTCTGAGAATGCCTCTGTCTAGTTGTTATGGGAAGATATTTCCTTTTCCAACGTAGGCCTGAAAGCGCTCCAAATGTCCACTTCCATATACTAAAAAAAGAGTGTTTCAAAACTGCTCTACCAAAGGGAATGTTCTACTCTGTGACTTGAATGCAAACATCCCAAAGAAGTTTCTGAGAATGCTTCTGTCTAGATTTTATCTGAAGACAATCCCGTTTCCAACGAAATCCTCAAGGCTAGGCAAATATACTCTTGCAGATTCCAGAAAAAGAGTGTTTCAAAACTGCTCCTTCAAAACGGTGGTTCAATTCTCTTAGTTGAGTACACACATCTCAAATAAGTTTCTGAGAATGCTTCTGCCTAGTTGTTACGGGAAGATATTTCCCTTTCCAACATGGGCCTGAAAGCGCTCCAAATGTCCACTTCCAGATACTACAAAAAGAGTGTTTCAAACCTGCTCTACCAAAGGGAATGTTCTACTCTGTGACTTGAATGCAAACATCCCAAAGAAGTTTCTGAGAATGCTTCTGTCTAGATTTTACCTGAAGACAATCCCGTTTCCCCCGAAATCCTCAAAGCTATGCAAATATCCTCTTGCGGATTCTACAAAAAGAGTGTTTCAAAACTGCTCTATGAAAAGAAAGGTTCAACTCTGTCAGTAGAGGGCACACATCACAAACAAGTTTCTGAGAATGCTTGTGTCTAGTTGTTATGGGAAGATATTTCCTTTTTCAACATAGGCCTGAAAGCGCTCCAAATGTCCACTTCCAGATACTACAAAAGGAGTGATTCCAACCTGCTCTATGATAGGGAATGTTCATCTCTGTGTCTTGAATACAAACATCACAAAGATGTTTCTCAGAACGCTGCAGTCTGCAATTTGTATGAATTCCCGCTTCCAACGAAATCCTCAAAACTAGCCAAATATCCACTTGGAGATTCCACAAAAAGAGCGTTTCAAAACTTCTCTATGAATAGAAAGGTTCTATCTTTTAGTTGAGGACACACATCACGAGTAAGTTTCTGAGAATGCTTCTGTCTAGTTTTTATGGGAAGATATTTCCTTTTTCACCTTAGGCCGGAAAGCACTCCAAATGTCCACTTACACACACTACAAAAAGCGTGTTTCAACCCTGCTCTGTGAAAGGGAATGTTCAATTCTGTGACTTGAATGCAATCATCACAAAGAACTTTCTGAGAATGCTGCTGTCTGCTTTTTATATGTAATCCCGTTTCCAACGAAATCCTCAAATCTAGCCCAATATTCACTTGCAGATTCCACAAAAAGAGTGTTTCAAAACTGTTCTGTCTAAAGAAAAGTTCAACTGTGTTAGTTGGGGACACACATCAGAAACTAGTTTCTGAGAATGCTTCTGTCTAGTTGTTATGGGAAGATATTTCCTTTTCCAACGTAGGCCTGAAAGCGCTCCAAATGTCCACTTCCATATACTAAAAAAAGAGTGTTTCAAACCTGCTCTACCAAAGGGAATGTTCTACTCTGTGACTTGAATGCAAACATCCCAAAGAAGTTTCTGAGAATGCTTCTGTCTATATTTTATCTGAAGACAATCCCGTTTCTAACGAAATCCTCAAGGCTAGGCAAATATACTCTTGCAGATTCCAGAAAAAGAGTGTTTCAAAACTGCTCCTTCAAAACGGTGGTTCAATTCTCTTAGTTGAGTACACACATCTCAAATAAGTTTCTGAGAATGCTTCTGCCTAGTTGTTACGGGAAGATATTTCCCTTTCCAACATGGGCCTGAAAGCGCTCCAAATGTCCACTTCCAGATACTACAAAAAGAGTGTTTCAAACCTGCTCTACCAAAGGGAATGTTCTACTCTGTGACTTGAATGCAAACATCCCAAAGAAGTTTCTGAGAATGCTTCTGTCTAGATTTTACCTGAAGACAATCCCGTTTCCCACGAAATCCTCAAAGCTATGCAAATATCCTCTTGCGGATTCTACAAAAAGAGTGTTTCAAAACTGCTCTATGAAAAGAAAGGTTCAACTCTGTCAGTAGAGGGCACACATCACAAACAAGTTTCTGAGAATGCTTGTGTCTAGTTGTTATGGGAAGATATTTCCTTTTTCAACATAGGCCTGAAAGCGCTCCAAATGTCCACTTCCAGATACTACAAAAGGAGTGATTCCAACCTGCTCTATGATAGGGAATGTTCATCTCTGTGTCCTGAATACAAACATCACAAAGATGTTTCTCAGAACGCTGCAGTCTGCAATTTGGATGAATTCCCGCTTCCAACGAAATCCTCAAAACTAGCCAAATATCCACTTGGAGATTCCACAAAAAGAGCGTTTCAAAACTTCTCTATGAATAGAAAGGTTCTACTCCTTTAGTTGAGGACACACATCACGAGTAAGTTTCTGAGAATGCTTCTGTCTAGTTTTTATGGGAAGATATGTCCTTTTTCACCTTAGGCCGGAAAGCGCTCCAAATGTCCACTTACACACACTACAAAAAGAGTGTTTCAAACCTGCTCTGTGAAAGGGAATGTTCAATTCTGTGACTTGAATGCAATCATCACAAAGAACTTTCTGAGAATGCTGCTGTCTGCTTTTTATATGTAATCCCGTTTCCAACGAAATCCTCAAATCTAGCCAAATATCCACTTGCAGATTCCACAAAAAGAGTGTTTCAAAACTGTTGCTGTCTAAAGAAATGTTCAACTGTGTTAGTTGAGGACACACATCAGAAACTAGTTTCTGCAGAATGCTTCTGTCTAGTTGTTATGGGAAGATATTTCCTTTTCCAACGTAGGCCTGAAAGCGCTCCAAATGTCCACTTCCATATACTAAAAAAAGAGTGTTTCAAACCTGCTCTACCAAAGGGAATGTTCTACTCTGTGACTTGAATGCAAACATCCCAAAGAAGTTTCTGAGAATGCTTCTGTCTAGATTTTCTCTGAAGACAATCCCGTTTCCAACGAAATCCTCAAGGCTAGGCAAATATACTCTTGCAGATTCCAGAAAAAGAGTGTTTCAAAACTGCTCCTTCAAAACGGTGGTTCAATTCTCTTAGTTGAGTACACACATCTCAAATAAGTTTCTGAGAATGCTTCTGCCTAGTTGTTACGGGAAGATATTTCCCTTTCCAACATGGGCCTGAAAGCGCTCCAAATGTCCACTTCCAGATACTACAAAAAGAGTGTTTCAAACCTGCTCTACCAAAGGAAATGTTCTACTCTGTGACTTGAATGCAAACATCCCAAAGAAGTTTCTGAGAATGCTTCTGTCTAGATTTTACCTGAAGACAATCCCGTTTCCCACGAAATCCTCAAAGCTATGCAAATATCCTCTTGCAGATTCTACAAAAAGAGTGTTTCAAAACTGCTCTATGAAAAGAAAGGTTCAACTCTGTCAGTAGAGGGCACACATCACAAACAAGTTTCTGAGAATGCTTCTGCATAGTTGTTACGGGAAGATATTTCCCTTTCCAAAATAGGCCTGAAAGCGCTCCAAATGTCCACTTCCAGATACTACAAAAGGAGTGATTCCAACCTGCTCTATGATAGGGAATGTTCAACTCTGTGTCCTGAATACAAACATCACAAAGATGTTTCTCAGAACGCTGCAGTCTGCAATTTGTATGAATTCCCGCTTCCAACGAAATCCTCAAAACTAGCCAAATATCCACTTGCAGATTCCACAAAAAGACCATTTCAAAACTGCTCTATCAAAAGAAAGGTTCAACTTTGTTAGTTGAGTAGATACAGCATAAACAAGTTTCTGAGAATGCTTCTGTCCAGTTTTTATGGGAAGATATTTCCTTTTTCACCTTAGCCCTGAAATCGCTCCAAAAGTCCAGTTCCAGATACTACAAAAGGGGTGTTTCAAGACTGCTCTATGAAAGGGAGTGTTCAACTTTTGACTTGAATGCAAACATCAGAAAGCAGCTTCTCAGAACGCTGCTGTGTGCTTTTTATATGTATTCCCGCTTCCAGCGAAATCCCCAAAGCTAGCCAAATATCCACTTGCAGATTCCAGAAAAAGAGTGTTTCAAAACTGCTCCTTCAAAACGGTGGTTCAATTCTCTTAGTTGAGTACACACATCTCAAATAAGTTTCTGAGAATGCTTCTGTCTAGTTGTTATGGGAAGATATTTCCTTTTCCAACATAGGCCTGAAAGCGCTCCAAATGTCCACTTCCAGATACTACAAAAGGAGTGATTCAAACCTGCTCTATGATAGGGAATGTTCAACTCTGTGTCCTGAATACAAACATCACAAAGATGTTTCTCAGAACGCTGCAGTCTGCAATTTGTATGAATTCCCGCTTCCAACGAAATCCTCCAAACTAGCCAAATATCCACTTGCAGATTCCACAAAAAGAGCGTTTCAAAACTTCTCTATGAAAAGAAAGGTTCTACTCCTTTAGTTGAGGACACACATCACGAGTAAGTTTCTGAGAATGCTTCTGTCTAGTTTTTATGGGAAGATATTTCCTTTTCCACCTTAGGCCAGAAAGCTCTCCAAATGTCCACTTACACACACTACAAAAAGAATGTTTCAAACCTGCTCTGTGAAAGGGAATTTTCAATTCTGTGACTTGAATGCAATCATCACAAAGAACTATCTGAGAATGCTGCTGTCTGCTTTTTATATGTATTCCCGTTTCCAACGAAATCCTCAAAGCCAGCCAAATATCCACTTGCAGATTCCACAAAAAGAGTGTTTCAAAACTGCTCTCTCAAAAGAAATGTTCAACTCTGTCAGTTGAGGACACACATCACAAATAAGTTTCTGAGAATGCTTCTGTCTAGTTTTTATGGGAAGATATTTCCTTTTTCACCTGAGGCCGGAAAGCGCTCCAAATGTCCACTTCCAGATACTACAAAAGGAGTGATTCAAACCTGCTCTATGATAGGGAACGTTCAACTCTGTGTCCTGAATACAAACATCACAAAGATGTTTCTCAGAACGCTGCAGTCTGCAATTTGTATGAATTCCCGCTTCCAACGAAATCCTCAAAACTAGCCAAATATCCACTTGCAGATTCCACAAAAAGAGCGTTTCAAAACTTCTCTATGAAAAGAAAGGTTCTACTCCTTTAGTTGAGGACACACATCACGAGTAAGTTTCTGAGAATGCTTCTGTCTAGTTTTTATGGGAAGATATTTCCTTTTTCACCTTAGGCCGGAAAGTGCTCCAAATGTCCACTTACACACACTACAAAAAGAGTGTTTCAAACCTGCTCTGTGAAAGGGAATGTTCAATTCTGTGACTTGAATGCAATCATCACAAAGAAGTTTCTGAGAATGCTGCTGACTGCTTTTTATATGTAATCCCGTTTCCAACGAAATCCTCAAATCTAGCCAAATAGCCACTTGCAGATTCCACAAAAAGAGTGTTTCAAAACTGTTCTGTCTAAAGAAATGTTCAACTGTGTTAGTTGAGGACACACATCAGAAACTAGTTTCTGAGAATGCTTCTGTCTAGTTGTTATGGGAAGATATTTCCTTTCCCAACGTAGGCCTGAAAGCGCTCCAAATGTCCACTTCCATATACTAAAAAAAGAGTGTTTCAAACCTGCTCTACCAAAGGGAATGTTCTACTCAGTGACTTGAATGCAAACATCCCAAAGAAGTTTCTGAGAATGCTTCTGTCTAGATTTTATCTGAAGACAATCCCGTTTCCAGCGAAATCCTCAAGGCTAGGCAAATATACTCTTGCAGATTCCAGAAAAAGAGGGTTTCAAAACTGCTCCTTCAAAACGGTGGTTCAATTCTCTTAGTTGAGTACACACATCTCAAATAAGTTTCTGAGAATGCTTCTGCCTAGTTGTTACGGGAAGATATTTCCCTTTCCAACATAGGCCTGAAAGCGCTCCAAATGTCCACTTCCAGATACTACAAAAAGAGTGTTTCAAACCTGCTCTACCAAAGGGAATGTTCTACTCTGTGACTTGAATGCAAACATCCCAAAGAAGTTTCTGAGAATGCTTCTGTCTAGATTTTACCTGAAGACAATCCCGTTTCCCACGAAATCCTCAAAGCTATCCAAATATCCTCTTGCGGATTCTATAAAAGAGTGTTTCAAAACTGCTCTATGAAAAGAAAGGTTCAACTCTGTCAGTAGAGGGCACACATCACAAACAAGTTTCTGAGAATGCTTGTGTCTAGTTGTTATGGGAAGATATTTCCTTTTTCAACATAGGCCTGAAAGCGCTCCAAATGTCCACTTCCAGATACTACAAAAGGAGTGATTCCAACCTGCTCTATGATAGGGAATGTTCAACTCTCTGTCCTGAATACAAACATCACAAAGATGTTTCTCAGAACGCTGCAGTCTGCAATTTGTATGAATTCCCGCTCCCAACGAAATCCTCAAAACTAGCCAAATATCCACTTGCAGATTCCACAAAAAGAGCATTTCAAAACTGCTCTATCAAAAGAAAGGTTCAACTTTGTTAGTTGAGTAGATACAGCATAAACAAGTTTCTGAGAATGCTTCTGTCCAGTTTTTATGGGAAGATATTTCCTTTTTCACCTTAGCCCTGAAAGCGCTCCAAAAGTCCAGTTCCAGATACTACAAAAGGGGTGTTTCAAGACTGCTCTATGAAAGGGAGTGTTCAACTTTTGACTTGAATGCAAACATCAGAAAGCAGTTTCTCAGAACGCTGCTGTGTGCTTTTTATATGTATTCCCGCTTCCAGCGAAATCCCCAAAGCTAGCTAAATATCCACTTGCAGATTCCAGAAAAAGAGTGTTTCAAAACTGCTCCTTCAAAACGGTGGTTCAATTCTCTTAGTTGAGTACACACATCTCAAATAAGTTTCTGAGAATGCTTCTGTCTAGTTTTTATGGGAAGATATTTCCTTTTTCACCTGAGGCCAGAAAGCGCTCCAAATGTCCACTTCCAGATACTACAAAAGGAGTGATTCAAACCTGCTCTATGATAGGGAATGTTCAACTCTGTGTCCTGAATACAAACATCACAAAGATGTTTCTCAGAACGCTGCAGTCTGCAATTTGTATGAATTCCCGCTTCCAACGAAATCCTCAAAACTAGCCAAATATCCACTTGCAGATTCCACAAAAAGAGCGTTTCAAAACTTCTCTATGAAAAGGAAGGTTCTACTCCTTTAGTTGAGGACACACATCACGAGTAAGTTTCTGAGAATGCTTCTGTCTAGTTTTTATGGGAAGATATTTCCTTTTTCACCTTAGGCCGGAAAGTGCTCCAAATGTCCACTTACACACACTACAAAAAGAGTGTTTCAAACCTGCTCTGTGAAAGGGAATGTTCAATTCTGTGACTTGAATGCAATCATCACAAAGAACTTTCTGAGAATGCTGCTGTCTGCTTTTTATATGTAATCCCGTTTCCAACGAAATCCTCAAATCTAGCCAAATAGCCACTTGCAGATTCCACAAAAAGAGTGTTTCAAAACTGTTCTGTCTAAAGAAATGTTCAACTGTGTTAGTTGAGGACACACATCAGAAACTAGTTTCTGAGAATGCTTCTGTCTAGTTGTTATGGGAAGATATTTCCTTTTCCAACGTAGGCCTGAAAGCGCTCCAAATGTCCACTTCCATATACTAAAAAAAGAGTGTTTCAAACCTGCTCTACCAAAGGGAATGTTCTACTCTGTGACTTGAATGCAAACATCCCAAAGAAGTTTCTGAGAATGCTTCTGTCTAGATTTTATCTGAAGACAATCCCGTTTCCAACGAAATCCTCAAGGCTAGGCAAATATACTCTTGCAGATTCTAGAAAAAGAGTGTTTCAAAACTGCGCCTTGAAAATGGTGGTTCAATTCTCTTAGTTGAGTACACACATCTCAAATAAGTTTCTGAGAATGCTTCTGCCTAGTTGTTACGGGAAGATATTTCCCTTTCCAACATAGGCCTGAAAGCGCTCCAAATGTCCACTTCCAGATACTACAAAAAGAGTGTTACAAACCTGCTCTACCAAAGGGAATGTTCTACTCTGTGACTTGAATAGAAACATCCCAAAGAAGTTTCTGAGAATGCTTCTGTCTAGATTTTAGCTGAAGACAATCCCGTTTCCAACGAAATCCTCAAAGCTAGGCAAATATACTCTAGCAGATTCCAGAAAAAGAGTGTTTCAAAACTGGTCCTTCAAAACGGTGGTTCAATTCTCTTAGTTGAGTACACACATCTCAAATAAGTTTCTGAGAATGCTTCTGCCTAGTTGTTAAGGGAAGATATTTCCCTTTCCAACATAGGCCTGAAAGCTCTCCAAATGTCCACTTCCAGATACTGCAAAAAGAGTGTTTCAAACCTGCTCTACCAAAGGGAATGTTCTACTCTGTGACTTGAATGCAAACATCCCAAAGAAGTTTCTGAGAATGCTTCTGTCTAGATTTGATCTGAAGACAATCCCGTTTCCAACGAAATCCTTAAAGCTAGGCAAATATACTCTTGCAGATTCCAGAAAAAGAGTGTTTCAAAACTGCTCCTTCAAAAGGGTGGTTCAATTCTCTTAGTTGAGTACACACATCTCAAATAAGTTTCTGAGAATGCTTGTGTCTAGTTGTTATGGGAAGATATTTCCTTTTTCAACATAGGCTTGAAAGCGCTCCAAATGTCCACTTCCAGATACTACAAAAGGAGTGATTCCAACCTGCTCTATGATAGGGAATGTTCAACTCTCTGTCCTGAATACAAACATCACAAAGGTGTTTCTCAGAACGCTGCAGTCTGCAATTTGTATGAATTCCCGCTTCCAACGAAATCCTCAAAACTAGCCAAATATCCACTTGGAGATTCCACAAAAAGAGCGTTTCAAAACTTCTCTATGAATAGAAAGGTTCTACTCCTTTAGTTGAGGACACACATCACGAGTAAGTTTTCTGAGAATGCTTCTGTCTAGTTTTTATGGGAAGATATTTCGTTTTTCACCTTAGGCAGGAAAGCGCTCCAAATGTCCACTTACACACACTACAAAAAGAGTGTTTCAATCCTGCTCTGTGAAAGGGAATGTTCAATTCTGTGACTTGAATGCAATCATCACAAAGAACTTTCTGAGAATGCTGCTGTCTGCTTTTTATATGTAATCCCGTTTCCAACGAAATCCTCAAATCTAGCCAAATATCCACTTGCAGATTCCACAAAAAGAGTGTTTCAAAACTGTTCTGTCTAAAGAAAAGTTCAACTGTGTTAGTTGAGGACACACATCAGAAACTAGTTTCTGAGAATGCTTCTGTCTAGTTGTTATGGGAAGATATTTCCTTTTCCAACGTAGGCCTGAAAGCGCTCCAAATGTCCACTTCCATATACTAAAAAAAGAGTGTTTCAAACCTGCTCTACCAAAGGGAACGTTCTACTCTGTGACTTGAATGCAAACATCCCAAAGAAGTTTCTGAGAATGCTTCTGTCTAGATTTTATCTCAAGACAATCCCGTTTCCAACGAAATCCTCAAGGCTAGGCAAATATCCTCTTGCAGATTCCAGAAAAAGAGTGTTTCAAAACTGCTCCTTCAAAACGGTGGTTCAATTCTCTTAGTTGAGTACACACATCTCAAATAAGTTTCTGAGAATGCTTCTGCCTAGTTGTTACGGGAAGATATTTCCCTTTCCAACATGGGCCTGATAGCGCTCCAAATGTCCACTTCCAGATACTACAAAAAGAGGGTTTCAAACCTGCTCTACCAAAGGGAATGTTCTACTCTGTGACTTGAATGCAAACATCACAAAGAAGTTTCTGAGAATGCTTCTGTCTAGATTTTACCTGAAGACAATCCCGTTTCCCACGAAATCCTCAAAGCTATGCAAATATCCTCTTGCAGATTCTACAAAAAGAGTGTTTCAAAACTGCTCTATGAAAAGAAAGGTTCAACTCTGTCAATAGAGGTCACACATCACAAACAAGTTTCTGAGTATGCTTGTGTCTAGTTGTTATGGGAAGATATTTCCTTTTTCAACATAGGCCTGAAAGCGCTCCAAATGTCCACTTCCAGATACTACAAAAGGAGTGATGCCAACCTGCTCTATGATAGGGAATGTTCATCTCTGTGTCCTGAATACAAACATCACAAAGATGTTTCTCATAACGCTGCAGTCTGCAATTTGTATGAATTCCCGCTTCCAACGAAATCCTCAAAACTAGCCAAATATCCACTTGGAGATTCCACAAAAAGAGCGTTTGAAAACTTCTCTATGAATAGAAAGGTTCTACTCCTTTAGTTGAGGACACACATCACGAGTAAGTTTCTGAGAAGGCTTCTGTCTAGTTTTTATGGGAAGATATTTCCTTTTTCACCTTAGGCCGGAAAGCGCTCCAAATGTCCACTTACACACACTACAAAAAGAGTGTTTCAAACCTGCTCTGTGAAAGGCAATGTTCAATTCTGTGACTTGAATGCAATCATCACAAAGAACTTTCTGAGAATGCTGCTGTCTGCTTTTTATATGTAATCCCGTTTCCAACGAAATCCTCAAATCTAGCCAAATATCCACTTGCAGATTCCACAAAAAGAGTGTTTCAAAACTGTTCTGTCTAAAGAAAAGTTCAACTGTGTTAGTTGAGGACACACATCAGAAACTAGTTTCTGAGAATGCTTCTGTCTAGTTGTTATGGGAAGATATTTCCTTTTCCAACGTAGGCCTGAAAGCGCTCCAAATGTCCACTTCCATATACTAAAAAAAGAGTGTTTCAAACCTGCTCTACCAAAGGGAATGTTCTACTCTGTGACTTGAATGCAAACATCCCAAAGAAGTTTCTGAGAATGCTTCTGTCTAGATTTTATTTGAAGACAATCCCGTTTCCAACGAAATTCTCAAGGCTAGGCAAATATACTCTTGCAGATTCCAGAAAAAGAGTGTTTCAAAACTGCTCCTTCAAAACGGTGGTTCAATTCTCTTAGTTGAGTACACACATCTCAAATAAGTTTCTGAGAATGCTTCTGCCTAGTTGTTACGGGAAGATATTTCCCTTTCCAACATGGGCCTGAAAGCGCTCCAAATGTCCACTTCCAGATACTACAAAAAGAGGGTTTCAAACCTGCTCTACCAAAGGGAATGTTCTACTCTGTGACTTGAATGCAAACATCCCAAAGAAGTTTCTGAGAATGCTTCTGTCTAGATTTTACCTGAAGACAATCCCGTTTCCCACGAAATCCTCAAAGCTATGCAAATATCCTCTTGCAGATTCTACAAAAAGAGTGTTTCAAAACTGCTCTATGAAAAGAAAGGTTCAACTCTCTCAGTAGAGGGCACACATCACAAACAAGTTTCTGAGAATGCTTGTGTCTAGTTGTTATGGGAAGATATTTCCTTTTTCAACATAGGCCTGAAAGCGCTCCAAATGTCCACTTCCAGATACTACAAAAGGAGTGATTCCAACCTGCTCTATGATAGGGAATGTTCATCTCTGTGTCCTGAATACAAACATCACAAAGATGTTTCTCAGAACGCTGCAGTCTGCAATTTGTATGAATTCCCGCTTCCAACGAAATCCTCAAAACTAGCCAAATATCCACTTGCAGATTCCACAAAAAGACCATTTCAAAACTGCTCTATCAAAAGAAAGGTTCAACTTTGTTAGTTGAGTAGATACAGCATAAACAAGTTTCTGAGAATGCTTCTGTCCAGTTTTTATGGGAAGATATTTCCTTTTTCACCTTAGGCCGGAAAGCGCTCCAAATGTCCACTTACACACACTACAAAAAGAGGGTTTCAAACCTGCTCTGTGAAAGGGAATGTTCAATTCTGTGACTTGAATGCAATCATCACAAAGAACTTTCTGAGAATGCTGCTGTCTGCTTTTTATATGTAATCCCGTTTCCAACGAAATCCTCAAATCTAGCCAAATATCCACTTGCAGATTCCACAAAAAGAGTGTTTCAAAACTGTTCTGTCTAAAGAAAAGTTCAACTGTGTTAGTTGAGGACACACATCAGAAACTAGTTTCTGAGAATGCTTCTGTCTAGTTGTTATGGGAAGATATTTCCTTTTCCAACGTAGGCCTGAAAGCGCTCCAAATGTCCACTTCCATATACTAAAAAAAGAGTGTTTCAAACCTGCTCTACCAAAGGGAATGTTCTACTCTGTGACTTGAATGCAAACATCCCAAAGAAGTTTCTGAGAATGCTTCTGTCTAGATTTTATCTGAAGACAATCCCGTTTCCAACGAAATCCTCAAGGCTAGGCAAATATACTCTTGCAGATTCCAGAAAAAGAGTGTTTCAAAACTGCTCCTTCAAAACGGTGGTTCAATTCTCTTAGTTGAGTACACACATCTCAAATAAGTTTCTGAGAATGCTTCTGCCTAGTTGTTACGGGAAGATATTTCCCTTTCCAACATGGGCCTGAAAGCGCTCCAAATGTCCACTTCCAGATACTACAAAAAGAGTGTTTCAAACCTGCTCTACCAAAGGGAATGTTCTACTCTGTGACTTGAATGCAAACATCCCAAAGAAGTTTCTGAGAATGCTTCTGTCTAGATTTTACCTGAAGACAATCCCGTTTCCCACGAAATCCTCAAAGCTATGCAAATATCCTCTTGCGGATTCTACAAAAAGAGTGTTTCAAAACTGCTCTATGAAAAGAAAGGTTCAACTCTGTCAGTAGAGGGCACACATCACAAACAAGTTTCTGAGAATGCTTGTGTCTAGTTGTTATGGGAAGATATTTCCTTTTTCAACATAGGCCTGAAAGCGCTCCAAATGTCCACTTCCAGATACTACAAAAGGAGTGATTCCAACCTGCTCTATGATAGGGAATGTTCATCTCTGTGTCCTGAATAGAAACATCACAAAGATGTTTCTCAGAACGCTGCAGTCTGCAATTTGTATGAATTCCCGCTTCCAACGAAATCCTCAAAACTAGCCAAATATCCACTTGGAGATTCCACAAAAAGAGCGTTTCAAAACTTCTCTATGAATAGAAAGGTTCTACTCCTTTAGTTGAGGACACACATCACGAGTAAGTTTCTGAGAATGCTTCTGTCTAGTTTTTATGGGAAGATATTTCCTTTTTCACCTTAGGCCGGAAAGCGCTCCAAATGTCCACTTACACACACTACAAAAAGAGTGTTTCAAACCTGCTCTGTGAAAGGGAATGTTCAATTCTGTGACTTGAATGCAATCATCACAAAGAACTTTCTGAGAATGCTGCTGTCTGCTTTTTATATGTAATCGCGTTTCCAACGAAATCCTCAAATCTAGCCCAATATCCACTTGCAGATTCCACAAAAAGAGTGTTTCAAAACTGTTCTGTATAAAGAAATGTACAACTGTGTTAGTTGAGGAAACACATCAGAAACCAGTTTCTGAGAATGCTTCTGTCTAGTTGTTATGGGAAGATATTTCCTTTTCCAACGTAGGCCTGAAAGCGCTCCAAATGTCCACTTCCATATACTAAAAAAAGAGTGTTTCAAACCTGCTCTACCAAAGGGAATGTTCTACTCTGTGACTTGAATGCAAACATCCCAAAGAAGTTTCTGAGAATGCTTCTGTCTAGATTTTCTCTGAAGACAATCCCGTTTCCAACGAAATCCTCAAGGCTAGGCAAATATACTCTTGCAGATTCCAGAAAAAGAGTGTTTCAAAACTGCTCCTTCAAAACGGTGGTTCAATTCTCTTAGTTGAGTACACACATCTCAAATAAGTTTCTGAGAATGCTTCTGCCTAGTTGTTACGGGAAGATATTTCCCTTTCCAACATGGGCCTGAAAGCGCTCCAAATGTCCACTTCCAGATACTACAAAAAGAGTGTTTCAAACCTGCTCTACCAAAGGGAATGTTCTACTCTGTGACTTGAATGCAAACATCCCAAAGAAGTTTCTGAGAATGCTTCTGTCTAGATTTTACCTGAAGACAATCCCGTTTCCCACGAAATCCTCAAAGCTATGCAAATATCCTCTTGCAGATTCTACAAAAAGAGTGTTTCAAAACTGCTCTATGAAAAGAAAGGTTCAACTCTGTCAGTAGAGGGCACACATCACAAACAAGTTTCTGAGAATGCTTGTGTCTAGTTGTTATGGGAAGATATTTCCTTTATCAACATAGGCCTGAAAGCGCTCCAAATGTCCACTTCCAGATACTACAAAAGGAGTGATTCCAACCTGCTCTATGATAGGGAATGTTCATCTCTGTGTCCTGAATACAAACATCACAAAGATGTTTCTCAGAACGCTGCAGTCTGCAATTTGTATGAATTCCCGCTTCCAACGAAATCCTCAAAACTAGCCAAATATCCACTTGGAGATTCCACAAAAAGAGCGTTTCAAAACTTCTCTATGAATAGAAAGGTTCTACTCCTTTAGTTGAGGACACACATCACGAGTAAGTTTCTGAGGATGCTTCCGTCTAGTTTTTATGGGAAGATATGTCCTTTTTCACCTTAGGCCGGAAAGCGCTCCAAATGTCCACTTACACACACTACAAAAAGAGTGTTTCAAACCTGCTCTGTGAAAGGGAATGTTCAATTCTGTGACTTGAATGCAATCATCACAAAGAACTTTCTGAGAATGCTGCTGTCTGCTTTTTATATGTAATCCCGTTTCCAACGAAATCCTCAAATCTAGCCCAATATCCACTTGCAGATTCCACAAAAAGAGTGTTTCAAAACTGTTCTGTCTAAAGAAAAGTTCAACTGTGTTAGTTGAGGACACACATCAGAAACTAGTTTCTGAGAATGCTTCTGTCTAGTTGTTATGGGAAGATATTTCCTTTTCCAACGTAGGCCTGAAAGCGCTCCAAATGTCCACTTCCATATACTAAAAAAAGAGTGTTTCAAACCTGCTCTACCAAAGGGAATGTTCTACTCTGTGACTTGAATGCAAACATCCCAAAGAAGTTTCCTGAGAATGCTTCTGTCTAGATTTGATCTGAAGACAATCCCGTTTCCAACGAAATCCTCAAAGCTAGGCAAATATCCTCTTGCAGATTCCAGAAAAAGAGTGTTTCAAAACTGCTCCTTCAAAACGGTGGTTCAATTTTCTTAGTTGAGTACACACATCTCAAATAAGTTTCTGAGAATGCTTCTGCCTAGTTGTTACGGGAAGATATTTCCCTTTCCAACATGGTCCTGAAAGCACTCCAAATGTCCACTTCCAGATACTACAAAAAGAGTGTTTCAAACCTGCTCTACCAAAGGGAATGTTCTACTCTGTGACTTGAATGCAAACATCCCAAAGAAGTTTCTGACAATGCTTCTGTCTAGATTTTACCTGAAGACAATCCCGTTTCCCACGAAATCCTCAAAGCTATGCAAATATCCTCTTGCAGATTCTACAAAAAGAGTGTTTCAAAACTGCTCTATGAAAAGAAAGGTTCAACTCTGTCAGTAGAGGGCACACATCACAAACAAGTTTCTGAGAATGCTTGTGTCTAGTTGTTATGGGAAGATATTTCCTTTTTCAACATAGGCCTGAAAGCGCTCCAAATGTCCACTTCCAGATACTACAAAAGGAGTGATTCCAACCTGCTCTATGATAGGGAATGTTCATCTCTGTGTTCTGAATACAAACATCACAAAGATGTTTCTCAGAACGCTGCAGTCTGCAATTTGTATGAATTCCCGCTTCCAACGAAATCCTCAAAACTAGCCAAATATCCACTTGGAGATTCCACAAAAAGAGCGTTTCAAAACTTCTCTATGAATAGAAAGGTTCTACTCCTTTAGTTGAGGACACACATCACGAGTAAGTTTCTGAGAATGCTTCTGTCTAGTTTTTATGGGAAGATATTTCCTTTTTCACCTTAGGCCGGAAAGCGCTCCAAATGTCCACTTACACACACTACAAAAAGAGTGTTTCAAACCTGCTCTGTGAAAGGGAATGTTCAATTCTGTGACTTGAATGCAATCATCACAAAGAACTTTCTGAGAATGCTGCTGTCTGCTTTTTATATGTAATCCCGTTTCCAACGAAATCCTCAAATCTAGCCAAATATCCACTTGCAGATTCCACAAAAAGAGTGTTTCAAAACTGTTCTGTCTAAAGAAAAGTTCAACTGTGTTAGTTGAGGACACACATCAGAAACTAGTTTCTGAGAATGCTTCTGTCTAGTTGTTATGGGAAGATATTTCCTTTTCCAACGTAGGCCTGAAAGCGCTCCAAATGTCCAATTCCATATACTAAAAAAAGAGTGTTTCAAACCTGCTCTACCAAAGGGAATATTCTACTCTGTGACTTGAATGCAAACATCCCAAAGAAGTTTCTGAGAATGCTTCTGTCTAGATTTTATCTGAAGACAATCCCGTTTCCAACGAAATCCTCAAGGCTAGGCAAATATCCTCTTGCAGATTCCAGAAAAAGAGTGTTTCAAAACTGCTCCTTCAAAACGGTGGTTCAATTCTCTTAGTTGAGTACACACATCTCAAATAAGTTTCTGAGAATGCTTCTGCCTAGTTGTTACGGGAAGATATTTCCCTTTGCAACATGGGCCAGAAAGCGCTCCAAATGTCCACTTCCAGATACTACAAAAAGAGGGTTTCAAACCTGCTCTACCAAAGGGAATGTTCTACTCTGTGACTTGAATGTAAACATCCCAAAGAAGTTTCTGAGAATGCTTCTGTGTAGATTTTACCTGAAGACAATCCCGTTTCCCACGAAATCCTCAATGCTATGCAAATATCCTCTTGCGGATTCTACAAAAAGAGTGTTTCAAAACTGCTCTATGAAAAGAAAGGTTCAACTCTGTCAGTAGAGGGCACACATCACAAACAAGTTTCTGAGAATGCTTCTGTCTAGTTGTTATGGGAAGATATTTCCTTTTCCAACATAGGCCGGAAAGCGCTCCAAATGTCCACTTCCAGATACTACAAAAGGAGTGATTCCAACCTGCTCTATGATAGGGAATGTTCAACTCTGTGTCCTGAATACAAACATCACAAAGATGTTTCTCAGAACGCTGCAGTCTGCAATTTGTATGAATTCCCGCTTCCAACGAAATCCTCAAAACTAGCCAAATATCCACTTGCAGATTCCACAAAAAGAGCGTTTCAAAACTTCTCTATGAAAACAAAGGTTCTACTCCTTAAGTTGAGGACACACATCACGAGTAAGTTTCTGAGAATGCTTCTGTCTAGTTTTTATGGGAAGATATTTCCTTTTTCACCTTAGGCCGGAAAGTGCTCCAAATGTCCACTTACACACACTACAAAAAGAGTGTTTCAAACCTGCTCTGTGAAAGGGAATGTTCAATTCTGTGACTTGAATGCAATCATCACAAAGAACTTTCTGAGAATGCTGCTGTCTGCTTTTTATATGTAATCCCGTTTCCAACGAAATCCTCAAATCTAGCCAAATAGCCACTTGCAGATTCCACAAAAAGAGAGTTTCAAAACTGTTCTGTCTAAAGAAATGTTCAACTGTGTTAGTTGAGGACACACATCAGAAACTAGTTTCTGAGAATGCTTCTGTCTAGTTGTTATGGGAAGATATTTCGTTGTCCAACGTAGGCCTGAAAGCGCTCCAAATGTCCACTTCCATATACTAAAAAAAGAGTGTTTCACACCTGCTCTACCAAAGGGAATGTTCTACTCTGTGACTTGAATGCAAACATCCCAAAGAAGTTTCTGAGAATGCTTCTGTCTAGATTTGATCTGAACACAATCCCGTTTCCAACGAAATCCTCAAAGCTAGGCAAATATCCTCTTGCAGATTCCAGAAAAAGAGTGTTTCAAAACTGCTCCTTCAAAACGGTGGTTCAATTCTCTTAGTTGAGTACACACATCTCAAATAAGTTTCTGAGAATGCTTCTGCCTAGTTGTTACGGGAAGATATTTCCCTTTCCAACATAGGCCTGAAAGCGCTCCAAATGTCCACTTCCAGATACTACAAAAAGAGTGTTTCAAACCTGCTCTACCAAAGGGAATGTTCTACTCTGTGACTTGAATGCAAACATCCCAAAGAAGTTTCTGAGAATGCTTCTGTCTAGATTTTTCCTGACGACAATCCCGTTTCCCACGAAATCCTCAAAGCTATGCAAATATCCTCTTGCAGATTCTACAAAAAGAGTGTTTCAAAACTGCTCTATGAAAAGAAAGGTTCAACTCTGTCAGTAGAGGGCACACATCACAAACAAGTTTCTGAGAATGCTTGTGTCTAGTTGTTATGGGAAGATATTTCCTTTTTCAACATAGGCTTGAAAGCACTCCAAATGTCCACTTCCAGATACTACAAAAGGAGTGATTCCAACCTGCTCTATGATAGGGAATGTTCAACTCTCTGTCCTGAATACAAACATCACAAAGATGTTTCTCAGAACGCTGCAGTCTGCAATTTGTATGAATTCCCGCTTCCAACGAAATCCTCAAAACTAGCCAAATATCCACTTGCAGATTCCACAAAAAGACCATTTCAAAACTGCTCTATCAAAAGAAAGGTTCAACTTTGTTAGTTGAGTAGATACAGCATAAACAAGTTTCTGAGAATGCTTCTGTCCAGTTTTTATGGGAAGATATTTCCTTTTTCACCTTAGCCCTGAAATCGCTCCAAAAGTCCAGTTCCAGATACTACAAAAGGGGTGTTTCAAGACTGCTCTATGAAAGGGAGTGTTCAACTTTTGACTTGAATGCAAACATCAGAAAGCAGTTTCTCAGAACGCTGCTGTGTGCTTTTTATATGTATTCCCGCTTCCAGTGAAATCCCCAAAGCTAGCCAAATATCCACTTGCAGATTCCAGAAAAAGAGAGTTTCAAAACTGCTCCTTCAAAACGGTGGTTCAATTCTCTTAGTTGAGTACACACATCTCAAATAAGTTTCTGAGAATGCTTCTGTCTAGTTGTTATGGGAAGATATTTCCTTTTCCAACATAGGCCTGAAAGCGCTCCAAATGTCCACTTCCAGATACTACAAAAGGAGTGATTCCAACCTGCTCTATGATAGGGAATGTTCAACTCTGTGTCCTGAATACAAACATCACAAAGATGTTTCTCAGAACGCTGCAGTCTGCAATTTGTATGAATTCCCGCTTCCAACGAAATCCTCAAAACTAGCCAAATATCCACTTGCAGATTCCACAAAAAGAGCGTTTCAAAACTTCTCTATGAAAAGAAAGGTTCTACTCCTTTAGTTGAGGACACATATCACGAGTAAGTTTCTGAGAATGCTTCTGTCTAGTTTTTATGGGAAGATATTTCCTTTTTCACCTTAGGCCGGTAAGTGCTCCAAATGTCCACTTACACACACTACAAAAAGAGTGTTTCAAACCTGCTCTGTGAAAGGGAATGTTCAATTCTGTGACTTGAATGCAATCATCACAAAGAACTTTCTGAGAATGCTGCTGACTGCTTTTTATATGTAATCCCGTTTCCAACGAAATCCTCAAATCTAGCCAAATAGCCACTTGCAGATTCCACAAAAAGAGTGTTTCAAAACTGTTCTGTCTAAAGAAATGTTCAACTGTGTTAGTTGAGGACACACATCAGAAACTAGTTTCTGAGAATGCTTCTGTCTAGTTGTTATGGGAAGATATTTCCTTTTCCAACGTAGGCCTGAAAGCGCTCCAAATGTCCACTTCCATATACTAAAAAAAGAGTGTTTCAAACCTGCTCTACCAAAGGGAATGTTCTACTCTGTGACTTGAATGCAAACATCCCAAAGAAGTTTCTGAGAATGCTTCTGTCTAGATTTGATCTGAAGACAATCCCGTTTCCAACGAAATCCTCAAGGCTAGGCAAATATCCTCTTGCAGATTCCAGAAAAAGAGTGTTTCAAAACTGGTCCTTCAAAACGGTGGTTCAATTCTCTTAGTTGAGTACACACATCTCAAATAAGTTTCTGAGAATGCTTCTGCCTAGTTGTTACGGGAATATATTTCCCTTTCCAACATGGGCTTGAATGCGCTCCAAATGTCCACTTCCAGATACTACAAAAAGAGTGTTTCAAACCTGCTCTACCAAAGGGAATGTTCTACTCTGTGACTTGAATGCAAACATCCCAAAGAAGTTTCTGAGAATGCTTCTGTCTAGATTTTACCTGAAGACAATCCCATTTCCCACGAAATCCTCAAAGCTATGCAAATATCATCTTGCGGATTCTACAAAAAGAGTGTTTCAAAACTGCTCTATGAAAAGAAAGGTTCAACTCTGTCAGCAGAGGGCACACATCACAAACAAGTTTCTGAGAATGCTTCTGTCTAGTTGTTATGGGAAGATATTTCCTTTTTCAACATAGGCCTGAAAGCGCTCCAAATGTCCACTTCCAGATACTACAAGAGGAGTGATTCCAACACGCTCTATGATAGGGAATGTTCATCTCTGTGTCTTGAATACAAACATCACAAAGATGTTTCTCAGAACGCTGCAGTCTGCAATTTGTATGAATTCCCGCTTCCAACGAAATCCTCAAAACTAGCCAAATATCCACTTGGAGATTCCACAAAAAGAGCGTTTCAAAACTTCTCTATGAATAGAAAGGTTCTACTCCTTTAGTTGAGGACACACATCACGAGTAAGTTTCTGAGAATGCTTCTGTCTAGTTTTTATGGGAAGATATGTTCTTTTTCACCTTAGGCCGGAAAGCGCTCCAAATGTCCACTTACACACACTACAAAAAGAGTGTTTCAAACCTGCTCTGTGAAAGGGAATGTTCAATTCTGTGACTTGAATGCAATCATCACAAAGAACTTTCTGAGAATGCTGCTGACTGCTTTTTATATGTAATCCCGTTTCCAACGAAATCCTCAAATCTAGCCCAATATCCACTTGCAGATTCCACAAAAAGAGTGTTTCAAAACTGTTCTGTCTAAAGAAATGTACAACTGTGTTAGTTGAGGACACACATCAGAAACTAGTTTCTGAGAATGCTTCTGTCTAGTTGTTATGGGAAGATATTTCCTTTTCCAACGTAGGCCTGAAAGCGCTCCAAATGTCCACTTCCATATACTAAAAAAAGAGTGTTTCAAACCTGCTCTACCAAAGGGAATGTTCTACTCTGTGACTTGAATGCAAACATCCCAAAGAAGTTTCTGAGAATGCTTCTGTCTAGATTTTATCTGAAGACAATCCCGTTTCCAACGAAATCCTCAAGGCTAGGCAAATATACTCTTGCAGATTCCAGAAAAAGAGTGTTTCAAAACTGCTCCTTCAAAACGGTGGTTCAATTCTCTTAGTTGAGTACACACATCTCAAATAAGTTTCTGAGAATGCTTCTGCCTAGTTGTTACGGGAAGATATTTCCGTTTCCAACATGGGCCTGAAAGCGCTCCAAATGTCCACTTCCAGATACTACAAAAAGAGTGTTTCAAACCTGCTCTACCAAAGGGAATGTTCTACTCTGTGACTTGAATGCAAACATCCCAAAGAAGTTTCTGAGAATGCTTCTGTCTAGATTTTACCTGAAGACAATCTCGTTTCCCACGAAATCCCCAAAGCGATGCAAATATCCTCTTGTGGATTCTACAAAAAGAGTGTTTCAAAACTGCTCTATGAAAAGAAAGGTTCAACTCTGTCAGTAGAGGGCACACATCACAAACAAGTTTCTGAGAATGCTTGTGTCTAGTTGTTATGGGAAGATATTTCCTTTTTCAACATAGGCCTGAAAGCGCTCCAAATGTCCACTTCCAGATACTACAAAAGGAGTGATTCCAACCTGCTCTATGATAGGGAATGTTCATCTCTGTGTCCTGAATACAAACATCACAAAGATGTTTCTCAGAACGCTGCAGTCTGCAATTTGTATGAATTCCCGCTTCCAACGAAATCCTCAAAACTAGCCAAATATCCACTTGCAGATTCCACAAAAAGAGCGTTTCAAAACTTCTCTATGAAAAGAAAGGTTCTACTCCTTTAGTTGAGGACACACAATACGAGTAAGTTTCTGAGAATGCTTCTGTCCAGTTTTTATGGGAAGATATTTCCTTTTTCACCTTAGCCCTGAAAGCGCTCCAAAAGTCCAGTTCCAGATACTACAAAAGGAGTGTTTCAGGACTGCTCTATGAAAGGGAGTGTTCAACTTTTGACTTGAATGCAAACATCAGAAAGCAGTTTCTCAGAACGCTGCTGTGTGCTTTTTATATGTATTCCCGCTTCCAGCGAAATCCCCAAAGCTAGCCAAATATCCACTTGCAGATTCCAGAAAAAGAGTGTTTCAAAACTGCTCCTTCAAAACGGTGGTTCAATTCTCTTAGTTGAGTACACACATCTCAAATAAGTTTCTGAGAATGCTTCTGTCTAGTTGTTATGGGAAGATATTTCCTTTTCCAACATAGGCCTGAAAGCGCTCCAAATGTCCACTTCCAGATACTACAAAAGGAGTGATTCAAACCTGCTCTATGATAGGGAATGTTCAACTGCTGTGTCCTGAATACAAACATCACAAAGATGTTTCTCAGAACGCTGCAGTCTGCAATTTGTATGAATTCCCCCTTCCAACGAAATCCTCAAAACTAACCAAATATCCACTTGCAGACTCCACAAAAAGAGCATTTCAAAACTGCTCTATCAAAAGAAAGGTTCAACTTTGTTAGCTGAGTAGATACAGCATAAACAAGTTTCTGAGAATGCTTCTGTCCAGTTTTTATGGGAAGATATTTCCTTTTTCACCTTAGCCCTGAAAGCACTCCAAATGTCCACTTCCAGATACCACAAAAGGGGAGTTTCAAGACTGCTCTATGAAAGGGAGTGTTCAACTTTTGACTTGAATGCGAACATCAGAAAGAAGTTTCTCAGAACCCTGCTGTGTGCTTTTTATATGTATTCCCGCTTCCAGCGAAATCCCCAAAGCTAGCCAAATAGCCACTTGCAGCTTCCAGAAAAAGAGTGTTTCAAAACTGCTCCTTCAAAACGGTGGTTCAATTCTCTTAGTTGAGTACACACATCTCAAATAAGTTTCTGAGAATGCTTCTGTCTATTTGTTATGGGAAGATATTTCCTTTTCCAACATAGGCCTGAAAGGGCTCCAAATGGACACTTCCAGATACTACAAAAGGAGTGATTCAAACCTGCTCTATGATAGGGAATGTTCAACTCTGTGTCCTGAATACAAACATCACAAAGATGTTTCTCAGAACGCTGCAGTCTGCAATTTGTATGAATTCCCGCTTCCAACGAAATCCTCAAAACTAGCCAAATATCCACTTGCAGATTCCACAAAAAGAGCGTTTCAAAACTTCTCTATGAAAAGAAAGGTTCTACTCCTTTAGTTGAGTACACACATCACGAGTAAGTTTCTGAGAATGCTTCTGTCTAGTTTTTATGGGAAGATATGTCCTTTTTCACCTTAGGCCGGAAAGCGCTCCAAATGTCCACTTACACACACTACAAAAAGAGTGTTTCAAACCTGCTCTGTGAAAGGGAATGTTCAATTCTGTGACTTGAATGCAATCATCACAAAGAAGTTTCTGAGAATGCTGCTGTCTGCTTTTTATATGTAATCCCGTTTCCAACGAAATCCTCAAATCTAGCCAAATATCCACTTGCAGATTCCACAAAGAGAGTGTTTCAAAACTGTTCTGTCTAAAGAAATGTTCAACTGTGTTAGTTGAGGACACACATCAGAAACTAGTTTCTGAGAATGCTTCTGTCTAGTTGTTATGGGAAGATATTTCCTTTTCCAACGTAGGCCTGAAAGCGCTCCAAATGTCCACTTCCATATACTAAAAAAAGAGTGTTTCAAACCTGCTCTACCAAAGGGAATGTTCTACTCTGTGACTTGAATGCAAACATCCCAAAGAAGTTTCTGAGAATGCTTCTATCTAGATTTTATCTGAAGACAATCCCGTTTCCAACGAAATCCTCAAGGCTAGGCAAATATACTCTTGCAGATTCCAGAAAAAGAGGGTTTCAAAACTGCTCCTTCAAAACGGTGGTTCAATTCTCTTAGTTGAGTACACACATCTCAAATAAGTTTCTGAGAATGCTTCTGCCTAGTTGTTACGGGAAGATATTTCCCTTTCCAACATGGGCCTGAAAGCGCTCCAAATGTCCACTTCCAGATACTACAAAAAGAGGGTTTCAAACCTGCTCTACCAAAGGGAATGTTCTACTCTGTGACTTGAATGCAAACATCCCAAAGAAGTTTCTGAGAATGCTTCTGTCTAGATTTTACCTGAAGACAATCCCGTTTCCCACGAAATCCTCAAAGCTATGCAAATATCCTCTTGCAGATTCTACAAAAAGAGTGTTTCAAAACTGCTCTATGAAAAGAAAGGTTCAACTCTGTCAGTGGAGGGCACACATCACAAACAAGTTTCTGAGAACGCTTGTGTCTAGTTGTTATGGGAAGATATTTCCTTTTTCAACATAGGCCTGAAAGCGCTCCAAATGTCCACTTCCAGATACTACAAAAGGAGTGATTCCAACCTGCTCTATGATAGGGAATGTTCATCTCTGTGTCTTGAATACAAACATCACAAAGATGTTTCTCAGAACGCTTCTCTCTAGATTTTATATGAAGATATTCCCGTTTCCAACGAAATCCACAAAGCTATCAAAATATCCACTTGCAGATTCTACAAAAAGAGTGTTTCAAAACTGCTCTATCAAAAGAAAGGTTCTACCCCTTTAGTTGAGGACACACATCACGAGTAAGTTTCTGAGAATGCTTCTGTCTAGTTTTTATGGGAAGATATTTCCTTTTTCACCTGAGGCCGGAAAGCGCTCCAAATGTCCACTTCCAGATACTACAAAAGGAGTGATTCAAACCTGCTCTATGATAGGGAACGTTCAACTCTGTGTCCTGAATACAAACATCACAAAGATGTTTCTCAGAACGCTGCAGTCTGCAATTTGTATGAATTCCCGCTTCCAACGAAATCCTCAAAACTAGCCAAATATCCACTTGCAGATTCCACAAAAAGAGCGTTTCAAAACTTCTCTATGAAAAGAAAGGTTCTACTCCTTTAGTTGAGGACACACATCACGAGTAAGTTTCTGAGAATGCTTCTGTCTAGTTTTTATGGGAAGATATTTCCTTGTTCACCTTAGGCCGGAAAGCGCTCCAAATGTCCACTTACACACACTACAAAAAGAGTGTTTCAAACCTGCTCTGTGAAAGGGAATGTTCAATTCTGTGACTTGAATGCAATCATCACAAAGAAGTTTCTGAGAATGCTGCTGTCTGCTTTTTATATGTAATCCCGTTTCCAACGAAATCCTCAAATCTAGCCAAATATCCACTTGCAGATTCCACAAAGAGAGTGTTTCAAAACTGTTCTGTCTAAAGAAATGTTCAACTGTGTTAGTTGAGGACACACATCAGAAACTAGTTTCTGAGAATGCTTCTGTCTAGTTGTTATGGGAAGATATTTCCTTTTCCAACGTAGGCCTGAAAGCGCTCCAAATGTCCACTTCCATATACTAAAAAAAGAGTGTTTCAAACCTGCTCTACCAAAGGGAATGTTCTACTCTGTGACTTGAATGCAAACATCCCAAAGAAGTTTCTGAGAATGCTTCTGTCTAGATTTCAACTGAAGACAATCCCGTTTCCAACGAAATCCTCAAATCTATGCAAATATCCTCTTGCAGATTCCAGAAAAAGAGTGTTTCAAAACTGCTCCTTCAAAACGGTGGTTCAATTCTCTTAGTTGAGTACACACATCTCAAATAAGTTTCTGAGAATGCTTCTGCCTAGTTGTTACGGGAAGATATTTCCCTTTCCAACATAGGCCTGAAAGCGCTCCAAATGTCCACTTCCAGATACTACAAAAAGAGTGTTTCAAACCTGCTCCTTCAAAACGGTGGTTCAATTCTCTTAGTTCAGTACACACATCTCAAATAAGTTTCTGAGAATGCTTCTGTCTAGATTTTACCTGAAGACAATCCCGTTTCCCACGAAATCCTCAAAGCTATGCAAATATCCTCTTGCAGATTCTACAAAAAGAGTGTTTCAAAACTGCTCTATGAAAAGAAAGGTTCAACTGTGTCAGTAGAGGGCACACATCACAAACAAGTTTCTGAGAATGCTTGTGTCTAGTTGTTATGGGAAGATATTTCCTTTTTCAACATAGGCCTGAAAGCGCTCCAAATGTCCACTTCCAGATACTACAAAAGGAGTGATTCCAACCTGCTCTATGATAGGGAATGTTCAACTCTCTGTCCTGAATACAAACATCACAAAGATGTTTCTCAGAACGCTGCAGTCTGCAATTTGTATGAATTCCCGCTTCCAACGAAATCCTCAAAACTAGCCAAATATCCACTTGCAGATTCCACAAAAAGAGCGTTTCAAAACTTCTCTATGAAAAGAAAGGTTCTACTCCTTTAGTTGAGGACACACATCACGAGTAAGTTTCTGAGAATGCTTCTGTCTAGTTTTTATGGGAAGATATTTCCTTTTTCACCTTAGGCCGGAAAGTGCTCCAAATGTCCACTTACACACACTACAAAAAGAGTGTTTCAAACCTGCTCTGTGAAAGGGAATGTTCAATTCTGTGACTTGAATGCAATCATCACAAAGAAGTTTCTGAGAATGCTGCTGTCTGCTTTTTATATGTAATCCCGTTTCCAACGAAATCCTCAAATCTAGCCAAATATCCACTTGCAGATTCCACAAAAAGAGTGTTTCAAAACTGTTCTGTCTAAAGAAATGTTCAACTGTGTTAGTTGAGGACACACATCAGAAACTAGTTTCTGAGAATGCTGCTGTCTAGTTGTTATGGGAAGATATTTCCTTTTCCAACGTAGGCCTGAAAGCGCTCCAAATGTCCACTTACACACACTACAAAAAGAGTGTTTCAAACCTGCTCTACCAAAGGGAATGTTCTACTTTGTGACTTGAATGCAAACATCCCAAAGAAGTTTCTGAGAATGCTTCTGTCTAGATTTTACCTGAAGACAATGCCGTTTCCCACGAAATCCTCAAAGCTAGGCAAATATCCTCTTGCAGATTCTACAAAAAGAGTGTTTCGAAACTGCTCTATGAAAAGAAAGGTTCAACTGTGTCAGTAGAGGGCACACATCACAAACAAGTTTCTGAGAATGCTTCTGCCTAGTTGTTATGGGAAGATATTTCCTTTTTCAACATAGGCCTGAAAGCGCTCCAAATGTCCACTTCCAGATACTACAAAAGGAGTGATTCCAACCTGCTCTATGATAGGGAATGTTCAACTCTGTGTCCTGAATACAAACATCACAAAGATGTTTCTCAGAACGCTGCAGTCTGCAATTTGTATGAATTCCCGCTTCCAACGAAATCCTCTAACCTAGCCAAATATCCACTTGCAGATTCCACAAAAAGAGCATTTCAAAACTGCTCTATCAAAAGAAAGGTTCAACTTTGTTAGTTGAGTAGATACAGCATAAACAAGTTTCTGAGAATGCTTCTGTCCAGTTTTTATGGGAAGATATTTCCTTTTTCACCTTAGCCCTGAAAGCGCTCCAAATGTCCAGTTCCAGATACTACAAAAGGGGTGTTTCAAGACTGCTCTATGAAAGGGAGTGTTCAACTTTTGACTTGAATGCAAACATCAGAAAGCAGTTTCTCAGAACGCTGCTGTGTGCTTTTTATATGTATTCCCGCTTCCAGCGAAATCCCCAAAGCTAGCCAAATATCCACTTGCAGATTCCAGAAAAAGAGTGTTTCAAAACTGCTCCTTCAAAACGGTGGTTCAATTCTCTTAGTTGAGTACACACATCTCAAATAAGTTTCTGAGAATGCTTCTGTCTAGTTGTTATGGGAAGATATTTCCTTTTCCAACATAGGCCTGAAAGCGCTCCAAATGTCCACTTCCAGATACTACAAAAGGAGTGATTCCAACCTGCTCTATGATAGGGAATGTTCAACTCTGTGTCCTGAATACAAACATCACAAAGATGTTTCTCAGAACGCTGCAGTCTGCAATTTGTATGAATTCCCGCTTCCAACGAAATCCTCAAAACTAGCCAAATATCCACTTGCAGATTCCACAAAAAGAGCGTTTCAGAACTTCTCTATGAAAAGAAAGGTTCTACTCCTTTAGTTGAGGACACACATCACGAGTAAGATTCTGAGAGTGCTTCTGTCTAGTTTTTATGGGAAGATATTTCCTTTTTCACCTTAGGCCGGTAAGTGCTCCAAATGTCCACTTACACACACTACAAAAAGAGTGTTTCAAACCTGCTCTGTGAAAGGGAATGTTCAATTCTGTGACTTGAATGCAATCATCACAAAGAACTTTCTGAGAATGCTGCTGACTGCTTTTTATATGTAATCCCGTTTCCAACGAAATCCTCAAATCTAGCCAAATAGCCACTTGCAGATTCCACAAAAAGAGTGTTTCAAAACTGTTCTGTCTAAAGAAATGTTCAACTGTGTTAGTTGAGGACACACATCAGAAACTAGTTTCTGAGAATGCTTCTGTCTAGTTGTTATGGGAAGATATTTCCTTTTCCAACATAGGCCTGAAAGCGATCAAAATGTCCACTTCCATATACTAAAAAAAGAGTGTTTCAAACCTGCTCTACCAAAGGGAATGTTCTACTCTGTGACTTGAATGCAAACATCCCAAAGAAGTTTCTGAGAATGCTTCTGTCTAGATTTTCTCTGAAGACAATCCCGTTTCCAACGAAATCCTCAAGGCTAGGCAAATATACTCTTGCAGATTCCAGAAAAAGAGTGTTTCAAAACTGCTCCTTCAAAACGGTGGTTCAATTCTCTTAGTTGAGTACACACATCTCAAATAAGTTTCTGAGAATGCTTCTGCCTAGTTGTTACGGGAAGATATTTCCCTTTCCAACATGGGCCTGAAAACGCTCCAAATGTCCACTTCCAGATACTACAAAAAGAGTGTTTCAAACCTGCTCTACCAAAGGGAATGTTCTACTCTGTGACTTGAATGCAAACATCCCAAAGAAGTTTCTGAGAATGCTTCTGTCTAGATTTTACCTGAAGACAATCCCGTTTCCCACGAAATCCTCAAAGCTATGCAAATATCCTCTTGCAGATTCTACAAAAAGAGTGTTTCAAAACTGCTCTATGAAAAGAAAGGTTCAACTCTGTCAGTAGAGGGCACACATCACAAACAAGTTTCTGAGAATGCTTCTGCATAGTTGTTACGGGAAGATATTTCCCTTTCCAAAATAGGCCTGAAAGCGCTCCAAATGTCCACTTCCAGATACTACAAAAGGAGTGATTCCAACCTGCTCTATGATAGGGAATGTTCAACTCTGTGTCCTGAATACAAACATCACAAAGATGTTTCTCAGAACGCTGCAGTCTGCAATTTGTATGAATTCCCGCTTCCAACGAAATCCTCAAAACTAGCCAAATATCCACTTGCAGATTCCACAAAAAGACCATTTCAAAACTGCTCTATCAAAAGAAAGGTTCAACTTTGTTAGTTGAGTAGATACAGCATAAACAAGTTTCTGAGAATGCTTCTGTCCAGTTTTTATGGGAAGATATTTCCTTTTTCACCTTAGCCCTGAAATCGCTCCAAAAGTCCAGTTCCAGATACTACAAAAGGGGTGTTTCAAGACTGCTCTATGAAAGGGAGTGTTCAACTTTTGACTTGAATGCAAACATCAGAAAGCAGTTTCTCAGAACGCTGCTGTGTGCTTTTTATATGTATTCCCGCTTCCAGCGAAATCCCCAAAGCTAGCCAAATATCCACTTGCAGATTCCAGAAAAAGAGAGTTTCAAAACTGCTCCTTCAAAACGGTGGTTCAATTCTCTTAGTTGAGTACACACATCTCAAATAAGTTTCTGAGAATGCTTGTGTCTAGTTGTTATGGGAAGATATTTCCTTTTTCAACATAGGCCTGAAAGCGCTCCAAATGTCCACTTCCAGATACTACAAAAGGAGTGATTCCAACCTGCTCTATGATAGGGAATGTTCAACTCTCTGTCCTGAATACAAACATCACAAAGATGTTTCTCAGAATCCTGCAGTCTGCAATTTGTATGAATTCCCGCTTCCAACGAAATCCTCAAAACTAGCCAAATATCCACTTGCAGATTCCACAAAAAGAGCATTTCAAAACTGCTCTATCAAAAGAAAGGTTCAACTTTGTTAGTTGAGTAGATACAGCATAAACAAGTTTCTGAGAATGCTTCTGTCCAGTTTTTATGGGAAGATATTTCCTTTTTCACCTTAGCCCTGAAAGCGCTCCAAAATTCCAGTTCCAGATACTACAAAAGGAGTATTTCAGGACTGCTCTATGAAAGGGAGTGTTCAACTTTTGACTTGAATGCAAACATCAGAAAGCAGTTTCTCAGAACGCTGCTGTGTGCTTTTTATATGTATTCCCGCTTCCAGCGAAATCCCCAAAGCTAGCCAAATATCCACTTGCAGATTCCAGAAAAAGAGTGTTTCAAAACTGCTCCTTAAAAACGGTGGTTCAATTCTCTTAGTTGAGTACACACATCTCAAATAAGTTTCTGAGAATGCTTCCTGTCTATTTGTTATGGGAAGATATTTCCTTTTCCAACATAGGGCCTGAAAGCGCTCCAAATGTCCACTTCCAGATACTACAAAAGGAGTGATTCAAACCTGCTCTATGATAGGGAATGTTCAACTCTGTGTCCTGAATACAAACATCACAAAGATGTTTCTCAGAACGCTGCAGTCTGCAATTTGTATGAATTCCCGCTTCCAACGAAATCCTCCAAACTAGCCAAATATCCACTTGCAGATTCCACAAAAAGAGCGTTTCAAAACTTCTCTATGAAAACAAAGGTTCTACTCCTTTAGTTGAGGATACACATCACGAGTAAGTTTCTGAGAATGCTTCTGTCTAGTTTTTATGGGAAGATTATTTCCTTTTTCACCTTAGGCCGGTAAGTGCTCCAAATGTCCACTTACACACACTACAAAAAGAGTGTTTCAAACCTGCTCTGTGAAAGGGAATGTTCAATTCTGTGACTTGAATGCAATCATCACAAAGAACTTTCTGAGAATGCCGCTGACTGCTTTTTATATGTAATCCCGTTTCCAACGAAATCCTCAAATCTAGCCAAATAGCCACTTGCAGATTCCACAAAAAGAGTGTTTCAAAACTGTTCTGTCTAAAGAAATGTTCAACTGTGTTAGTTGAGGACACACATCAGAAACTAGTTTCTGAGAATGCTTCTGTCTAGTTGTTATGGGAAGATATTTCCTTTTCCAACGTAGGCCTGAAAGCGCTCCAAATGTCCACTTCCAGATACTACAAAAAGAGTGTTTCAAACCTGCTCTACCAAAGGGAATGTTCTACTCTGTGACTTGAATGCAAGCATCCCAAAGAAGTTTCTGAGAATGCTTCTGTCTAGATTTTCTCTGAAGACAATCCCGTTTCCAACGAAATCCTCAAGGCTAGGCAAATATACTCTTGCAGATTCCAGAAAAAGAGTGTTTCAAAACTGCTCCTTCAAAACGGTGGTTCAATTCTCTTAGTTGAGTACACACATCTCAAATAAGTTTCTGAGAATGCTTCTGCCTAGTTGTTACGGGAAGATATTTCCCTTTCCAACATGGGCCTGAAAGCGCTCCAAATGTCCACTTCCAGATACTACAAAAAGAGTGTTTCAAACCTGCTCTACCAAAGGGAATGTTCTACTCTGTGACTTGAATGCAAACATCCCAAAGAAGTTTCTGAGAATGCTTCTGTCTAGATTTTACCTGAAGACAATCCCGTTTCCCACGAAATCCTCAAAGCTATGCAAATATCCTCTTGCAGATTCTACAAAAAGAGTGTTTCAAAACTGCTCTATGAAAAGAAAGGTTCAACTCTGTCAGTGGAGGGCACACATCACAAACAAGTTTCTGAGAACGCTTGTGTCTAGTTGTTATGGGAAGATATTTCCTTTTTCAACATAGGCCTGAAAGCGCTCCAAATGTCCACTTCCAGATACTACAAAAGGAGTGATTCCAACCTGCTCTATGATAGGGAATGTTCAACTCTCTGTCCTGAATACAAACATCACAAAGATGTTTCTCAGAACGCTGCAGTCTGCAATTTGTATGAATTCCCGCTTCCAACCGAAATCCTCAAAACTAGCCAAATATCCACTTGCAGATTCCACAAAAAGAGCATTTCAAAACTGCTCTATCAAAAGAAAGGTTCAACTTTGTTAGTTGAGTAGATACAGCATAAACAAGTTTCTGAGAATGCTTCTGTCCAGTTTTTATGGGAAGATATTTCCTTTTTCACCTTAGCCCTGAAAGCGCTCCAAATGTCCACTTCCAGATACTACAAAAGGGGTGTTTCAAGCCTGCTCTATGAAAGGGAGTGTTCAACTTTTGACGTGAATGCAAACATCAGAAAGCAGTTTCTCAGAACGCTGCTGTGTGCTTTTTATATGTATTCCCGCTTCCAGCGAAATCCCCAAAGCTAGCCAAATATCCACTTGTAGATTCCAGAAAAAGAGTGTTTCAAAACTGCTCCTTCAAAACGGTGGTTCAATTCTCTTAGTTGAGTACACACATCTCAAATAGGTTTCTGAGAATGCTTCTGTCTAGTTTTTATGGGAAGATATTTCCTTTTTCACCTGAGGCCGGAAAGCGCTCCAAATGTCCACTTCCAGATACTACAAAAGGAGTGATTCAAACCTGCTCTATGATAGGGAACGTTCAACTCTGTGTCCTGAATACAAACATCACAAAGATGTTTCTCAGAACGCTGCAGTCTGCAATTTGTATGAATTCCCGCTTCCAACGAAATCCTCCAAACTAGCCAAATATCCACTTGCAGATTCCACAAAAAGAGCGTTTCAAAACTTCTCTATGAAAAGAAAGGTTCTACTCCTTTAGTTGAGGACACACATCACGAGTAAGTTTCTGAGAATGCTTCTGTCTAGTTTTTATGGGAAGATATTTCCTTTTTCACCTTAGGCCGGAAAGTGCTCCAAATGTCCACTTACACACACTACAAAAAGAGTGTTTCAAACCTGCTCTGTGAAAGGGAATGTTCAATTCTGTGACTTGAATGCAATCATCACAAAGAACTTTCTGAGAATGCTGCTGTCTGCTTTTTATATGTAATCCCGTTTCCAACGAAATCCTCAAATCTAGCCAAATAGCCACTTGCAGATTCCACAAAAAGAGAGTTTCAAAACTGTTCTGTCTAAAGAAATGTTCAACTGTGTTAGTTGAGGACACACATCAGAAACTAGTTTCTGAGAATGCTTCTGTCTAGTTGTTATGGGAAGATATTTCCTTTTCCAACGTAGGCCTGAAAGCGCTCCAAATGTCCACTTCCATATACTAAAAAAAGAGTGTTTCAAACCTGCTCTACCAAAGGGAATGTTCTACTCTGTGACTTGAATGCAAACATCCCAAAGAAGTTTCTGAGAATGCTTCTGTCTAGATTTGATCTGAAGACAATCCCGTTTCCAACGAAATCCTCAAGGCTAGGCAAATATCCTCTTGCAGATTGCAGAAAAAGAGTGTTTCAAAACTGCTCCTTCAAAACGGTGGTTCAATTCTCTTAGTTGAGTACACACATCTCAAATAAGTTTCTGAGAATGCTTCTGCCTAGTTGTTACGGGAAGATATTTCCCTTTCCAACATAGGCCTGAAAGCGCTCCAAATGTCCACTTCCAGATACTACAAAAAGAGTGTTTCAAACCTGCTCTACCAAAGGGAATGTTCTACTCTGTGACTTGAATGCAAACATCCCAAAGAAGTTTCTGAGAATGCTTCTGTCTAGATTTTACCTGAAGACAATCCCGTTTCCCACGAAATCCTCAAAGCTATGCAAATATCCTCTTGCAGATTCTACAAAAAGAGTGTTTCAAAACTGCTCTATGAAAAGAAAGGTTCAACTCTGTCAGTAGAGGGCACACATCACAAACAAGTTTCTGAGAATGCTTCTGCATAGTTGTTACGGGAAGATATTTCCCTTTCCAAAATAGGCCTGAAAGCGCTCCAAATGTCCACTTCCAGATACTACAAAAGGAGTGATTCCAACCTGCTCTATGATAGGGAATGTTCAACTCTGTGTCCTGAATACAAACATCACAAAGATGTTTCTCAGAACGCTGCAGTCTGCAATTTGTATGAATTCCCGCTTCCAACGAAATCCTCAAAACTAGCCAAATATCCACTTGCAGATTCCACAAAAAGACCATTTCAAAACTGCTCTATCAAAAGAAAGGTTCAACTTTGTTAGTTGAGTAGATACAGCATAAACAAGTTTCTGAGAATGCTTCTGTCCAGTTTTTATGGGAAGATATTTCCTTTTTCACCTTAGCCCTGAAATCGCTCCAAAAGTCCAGTTCCAGATACTACAAAAGGGGTGTTTCAAGACTGCTCTATGAAAGGGAGTGTTCAACTTTTGACTTGAATGCAAACATCAGAAAGCAGTTTCTCAGAACGCTGCTGTGTGCTTTTTATATGTATTCCCGCTTCCAGCGAAATCCCCAAAGCTAGCCAAATATCCACTTGCAGATTCCAGAAAAAGAGTGTTTCAAAACTGCTCCTTCAAAACGGTGGTTCAATTCTCTTAGTTGAGTACACACATCTCAAATAAGTTTCTGAGAATGCTTCTGTCTAGTTGTTATGGGAAGATATTTCCTTTTCCAACATAGGCCTGAAAGCGCTCCAAATGTCCACTTCCAGATACTACAAAAGGAGTGATTCAAACCTGCTCTATGATAGGGAATGTTCAACTCTGTGTCCTGAATACAAACATCACAAAGATGTTTCTCAGAACGCTGCAGTCTGCAATTTGTATGAATTCCCGCTTCCAACGAAATCCTCAAAACTAGCCAAATATCCACTTGCAGATTCCACAAAAAGAGCGTTTCAAAACTTCTCTATGAAAAGAAAGGTTCTACTCCTTTAGTTGAGGACACACATCACGAGTAAGTTTCTGAGAATGCTTCTGTCTAGTTTTTATGGGAAGATATTTCCTTTTTCACCTTAGGCCGGTAAGTGCTCCAAATGTCCACTTACACACACTACAAAAAGAGTGTTTCAAACCTGCTCTGTGAAAGGGAATGTTCAATTCTGTGACTTGAATGCAATCATCACAAAGAACTTTCTGAGAATGCTGCTGACTGCTTTTTATATGTAATCCCGTTTCCAACGAAATCCTCAAATCTAGCCAAATAGCCACTTGCAGATTCCACAAAAAGAGTGTTTCAAAACTGTTCTGTCTAAAGAAATGTTCAACTGTGTTAGTTGAGGACACACATCAGAAACTAGTTTCTGAGAATGCTTCTGTCTAGTTGTTATGGGAAGATATTTCCTTTTCCAACGTAGGCCTGAAAGCGCTCCAAATGTCCACTTCCAGATACTAAAAAAAGAGTGTTTCAAACCTGCTCTACCAAAGGGAATGTTCTACTCTGTGACTGGAATGCAAGCATCCCAAAGAAGTTTCTGAGAATGCTTCTGTCTAGATTTTCTCTGAAGACAATCCCGTTTCCAACGAAATCCTCAAGGCTAGGCAAATATACTCTTGCAGATTCCAGAAAAAGAGTGTTTCAAAACTGCTCCTTCAAAACGGTGGTTCAATTCTCTTAGTTGAGTACACACATCTCAAATAAGTTTCTGAGAATGCTTCTGCCTAGTTGTTACGGGAAGATATTTCCCTTTCCAACATGGGCCTGAAAGCGCTCCAAATGTCCACTTCCAGATACTACAAAAAGAGTGTTTCAAACCTGCTCTACCAAAGGGAATGTTCTACTCTGTGACTTGAATGCAAACATCCCAAAGAAGTTTCTGAGAATGCTTCTGTCTAGATTTTACCTGAAGACAATCCCGTTTCCCACGAAATCCTCAAAGCTATGCAAATATCCTCTTGCAGATTCTACAAAAAGAGTGTTTCAAAACTGCTCTATGAAAAGAAAGGTTCAACTCTGTCAGTAGAGGGCACACATCACAAACAAGTTTCTGAGAATGCTTCTGCATAGTTGTTACGGGAAGATATTTCCCTTTCCAAAATAGGCCTGAAAGCGCTCCAAATGTCCACTTCCAGATACTACAAAAGGAGTGATTCCAACCTGCTCTATGATAGGGAATGTTCAACTCTGTGTCCTGAATACAAACATCACAAAGATGTTTCTCAGAACGCTGCAGTCTGCAATTTGTATGAATTCCCGCTTCCAACGAAATCCTCAAAACTAGCCAAATATCCACTTGCAGATTCCACAAAAAGACCATTTCAAAACTGCTCTATCAAAAGAAAGGTTCAACTTTGTTAGTTGAGTAGATACAGCATAACCAAGTTTCTGAGAATGCTTCTGTCCAGTTTTTATGGGAAGATATTTCCTTTTTCACCTTAGCCCTGAAATCGCTCCAAAAGAACAGTTCCAGATACTACAAAAGGGGTGTTTCAAGACTGCTCTATGAAAGGGAGTGTTCAACTTTTGACTTGAATGCAAACATCAGAAAGCAGTTTCTCAGAACGCTGCTGTGTGCTTTTTATATGTATTCCCGCTTCCAGCGAAATCCCCAAAGCTAGCCAAATATCCACTTGCAGATTCCAGAAAAAGAGAGTTTCAAAACTGCTCCTTCAAAACGGTGGTTCAATTCTCTTAGTTGAGTACACACATCTCAAATAAGTTTCTGAGAATGCTTCTGTCTAGTTGTTATGGGAAGATATTTCCTTTTCCAACATAGGCCTGAAAGCGCTCCAAATGTCCACTTCCAGATACTACAAAAGGAGTGATTCCAACCTGCTCTATGATAGGGAATGTTCAACTCTGTGTCCTGAATACAAACATCACAAAGATGTTTCTCAGAACGCTGCAGTCTGCAATTTGTATGAATTCCCGCTTCCAACGAAATCCTCAAAACTAGCCAAATATCCACTTGCAGATTCCACAAAAAGAGCGTTTCAAAACTTCTCTATGAAAAGAAAGGTTCTACTCCTTTAGTTGAGGACACACATCACGAGTAAGTTTCTGAGAATGCTTCTGTCTAGTTTTTATGGGAAGATATTTCCTTTTTCACCTTAGGCCGGTAAGTGCTCCAAATGTCCACTTACACACACTACAAAAAGAGTGTTTCAAACCTGCTCTGTGAAAGGGAATGTTCAATTCTGTGACTTGAATGCAATCATCACAAAGAACTTTCTGAGAATGCTGCTGACTGCTTTTTATATGTAATCCCGTTTCCAACGAAATCCTCAAATCTAGCCAAATAGCCACTTGCAGATTCCACAAAAAGAGTGTTTCAAAACTGTTCTGTCTAAAGAAATGTTCAACTGTGTTAGTTGAGGACACACATCAGAAACTAGTTTCTGAGAATGCTTCTGTCTAGTTGTTATGGGAAGATATTTCCTTTTCCAACGTAGGCCTGAAAGCGCTCCAAATGTCCACTTCCAGATACTAAAAAAAGAGTGTTTCAAACCTGCTCTACCAAAGGGAATGTTCTACTCTGTGACTTGAATGCAAACATCCCAAAGAAGTTTCTGAGAATGCTTCTGTCTAGATTTTCTCTGAAGACAATCCCGTTTCCAACGAAATCCTCAAGGCTAGGCAAATATACTCTTGCAGATTCCAGAAAAAGAGTGTTTCAAAACTGCTCCTTCAAAACGGTGGTTCAATTCTCTTAGTTGAGTACACACATCTCAAATAAGTTTCTGAGAATGCTTCTGCCTAGTTGTTACGGGAAGATATTTCCCTTTCCAACATGGGCCTGAAACCACTCCAAAAGTCCACTTCCAGATACTACAAAAAGAGTGTTTCAAACCTGCTCTACCAAAGGGAATGTTCTACTCTGTGACTTGAATGCAAACATCCCAAAGAAGTTTCTAAGAATGCTTCTGTCTAGATTTTACCTGAAGACAATCCCGTTTCCCACGAAATCCTCAAAGCTATGCAAATATCCTCTTGCAGATTCTACAAAAAGAGTGTTTCAAAACTGCTCTATGAAAAGAAAGGTTCAACTCTGTCAGTAGAGGGCACACATCACAAACAAGTTTCTGAGAATGCTTCTGCATAGTTGTTACGGGAAGATATTTCCCTTTCCAAAATAGGCCTGAAAGCGCTCCAAATGTCCACTTCCAGATACTACAAAAGGAGTGATTCCAACCTGCTCTATGATAGGGAATGTTCAACTCTGTGTCCTGAATACAAACATCACAAAGATGTTTCTCAGAACGCTGCAGTCTGCAATTTGTATGAATTCCCGCTTCCAACGAAATCCTCAAAACTAGCCAAATATCCACTTGCAGATTCCACAAAAAGACCATTTCAAAACTGCTCTATCAAAAGAAAGGTTCAACTTTGTTAGTTGAGTAGATACAGCATAAACAAGTTTCTGAGAATGCTTCTGTCCAGTTTTTATGGGAAGATATTTCCTTTTTCACCTTAGCCCTGAAATCGCTCCAAAAGTCCAGTTCCAGATACTACAAAAGGGGTGTTTCAGGACTGCTCTATGAAAGGGAGTGTTCAACTTTTGACTTGAATGCAAACATCAGAAAGCAGTTTCTCAGAACGCTGCTGTGTGCTTTTTATATGTATTCCCGCTTCCAGCGAAATCCCCAAAGCTAGCCAAATATCCACTTGCAGATTCCAGAAAAAGAGAGTTTCAAAACTGCTCCTTCAAAACGGTGGTTCAATTCTCTTAGTTGAGTACACACATCTCAAATAAGTTTCTGAGAATGCTTCTGTCTAGTTGTTATGGGAAGATATTTCCTTTTCCAACATAGGCCTGAAAGCGCTCCAAATGTCCACTTCCAGATACTACAAAAGGAGTGATTCAAACCTGCTCTATGATAGGGAATGTTCAACTCTGTGTCCTGAATACAAACATCACAAAGATGTTTCTCAGAACGCTGCAGTCTGCAATTTGTATGAATTCCCGCTTCCAACGAAATCCTCAAAACTAGCCAAATATCCACTTGCAGATTCCACAAAAAGAGCGTTTCAAAACTTCTCTATGAAAAGAAAGGTTCTACTCCTTTAGTTGAGGACACACAATACGAGTAAGTTTCTGAGAATGCTTCTGTCCAGTTTTTATGGGAAGATATTTCCTTTTTCACCTTAGCCCTGAAAGCGCTCCAAAAGTCCAGTTCCAGATACTACAAAAGGAGTGTTTCAGGACTGCTCTATGAAAGGGAGTGTTCAACTTTTGACTTGAATGCAAACATCAGAAAGCAGTTTCTCAGAACGCTGCTGTGTGCTTTTTATATGTATTCCCGCTTCCAGCGAAATCCCCAAAGCTAGCCAAATATCCACTTGCAGATTCCAGAAAAAGAGTGTTTCAAAACTGCTCCTTCAAAACGGTGGTTCAATTCTCTTAGTTGAGTACACACATCTCAAATAAGTTTCTGAGAATGCTTCTGTCTAGTTGTTATGGGAAGATATTTCCTTTTCTAACATAGGCCTGAAAGCGCTCCAAATGTCCACTTCCAGATACTACAAAAGGAGTGATTCAAACCTGCTCTATGATAGGGAATGTTCAACTCTGTGTCCTGAATACAAACATCACAAAGATGTTTCTCAGAACGCTGCAGTCTGCAATTTGTATGAATTCCCGCTTCCAACGAAATCCTCAAAACTAGCCAAATATCCACTTGCAGATTCCACAAAAAGAGCATTTCAAAACTGCTCTATCAAAAGAAAGGTTCAACTTTGTTAGTTGAGTAGATACAGCATAAATAAGTTTCTGAGAATGCTTCTGTCCAGTTTTTATGGGAAGATATTTCCTTTTTCACCTTAGCCCTGAAAGCGCTCCAAAAGTCCAGTTCCAGATACTACAAAAGGAGTGTTTCAGGACTGCTCTATGAAAGGGAGTGTTCAACTTTTGACTTGAATGCAAACATCAGAAAGCAGTTTCTCAGAACGCTGCTGTGTGCTTTTTATATGTATTCCCGCTTCCAGCGAAATCCCCAAAGCTAGCCAAATATCCACTTGCAGATTCCAGAAAAAGAGTGTTTCAAAACTGCTCCTTCAAAACGGTGGTTCAATTCTCTTAGTTGAGTACACACATCTCAAATAAGTTTCTGAGAATGCTTCTGTCTAGTTGTTATGGGAAGATATTTCCTTTTCCAACATAGGCCTGAAAGCGCTCCAAATGTCCACTTCCAGATACTACAAAAGGAGTGATTCCAACCTGCTCTATGATAGGGAATGTTCAACTCTGTGTCCTGAATACAAACATCACAAAGATGTTTCTCAGAACGCTGCAGTCTGCAATTTGTATGAATTCCCGCTTCCAACGAAATCCTCAAAACTAGCCAAATATCCACTTGCAGATTCCACAAAAAGAGCGTTTCAAAACTTCTCTATGAAAAGAAAGGTTCTACTACTTTAGTTGAGGACACACATCACGAGTAAGTTTCTGAGAATGCTTCTGTCTAGTTTTTATGGGAAGATATTTCCTTTTTCACCTTAGGCCGGTAAGTGCTCCAAATGTCCACTTACACACACTACAAAAAGAGTGTTTCAAACCTGCTCTGTGAAAGGGAATGTTCAATTCTGTGACTTGAATGCAATCATCACAAAGAACTTTCTGAGAATGCTGCTGACTGCTTTTTATATGTAATCCCGTTTCCAACGAAATCCTCAAATCTAGCCAAATAGCCACTTGCAGATTCCACAAAAAGAGTGTTTCAAAACTGTTCTGTCTAAAGAAAAGTTCAACTGTGTTAGTTGAGGACACACATCAGAAACTAGTTTCTGAGAATGCTTCTGTTTAGTTGTTATGGGAAGATATTTCCTTTTCCAACGTAGGCCTGAAAGCGCTCCAAATGTCCACTTCCATATACTAAAAAAAGAGTGTTTCAAATCTGCTCTACCAAAGGGAATGTTCTACTCTGTGACTTGAATGCAAACATCCCAAAGAAGTTTCTGAGAATGCTTCTGTCTAGATTTTATCTGAAGACAATCCCGTTTCCAACGAAATCCTCAAGGCTAGGCAAATATACTCTTGCAGATTCCAGAAAAAGAGTGTTTCAAAACTGCTCCTTCAAAACGGTGGTTCAATTCTCTTAGTTGAGTACACACATCTCAAATAAGTTTCTGAGAATGCTTCTGCCTAGTTGTTACGGGAAGATATTTCCCTTTCCAACATGGGCCTGAAAGCGCTCCAAATGTCCACTTCCAGATACTACAAAAGGAGGGTTTCAAACCTGCTCTACCAAAGGGAATGTTCTACTCTGTGACTTGAATGCAAACATCCCAAAGAAGTTTCTGAGAATGCTTCTGTCTAGATTTTATCTGAAGACAATCCCGTTTCCAACGAAATCCTCAAAGCTGGCAAATATCCTCTAGCAGATTCCAGAAAAAGAGTGTTTCAAAACTGGTCCTTCAAAACGGTGGTTCAATTCTCTTAGTTGAGTACACACATCTCAAATAAGTTTCTGAGAATGCTTCTGCCTAGTTGTTAAGGGAAGATATTTCCCTTTCCAACATAGGCCTGAAAGCGCTCCAAATGTCCACTTCCAGATACTACAAAAAGAGTGTTTCAAACCTGCTCTGCCAAAGGGAATGTTCTACTCTGTGACTTGAATGCAAACATCCCAAAGAAGTTTCTGAGAATGCTTCTGTCTAGATTTGATCTGAAGACAATCCCGTTTCCAACGAAATCCTCAAGGCTAGGCAAATATACTCTTGCAGATTCCAGAAAAAGGGTGTTTCAAAACTGCTCCTTCGAAACGGTGGTTCAATTCTCTTAGTTGAGTACACACATCTCAAATATGTTTCTGAGAATGCTTCTGCCTAGTTGTTACGGGAAGATATTTCCCTTTCCAACATGGGCCTGAAAGCGCTCCAAATGTCCACTTCCAGATACTACAAAAAGAGTGTTTCAAACCTGCTCTACCAAAGGGAATGTTCTACTCTGTGACTTGAATGCAAACATCCCAGAGAAGTTTCTGAGAATGCTTCTGTCTAGTATTTTACCTGAAGACAATCCCGTTTCCCACGAAATCCTCAAAGCTATGCAAATATCCTCTTGCGGATTCTACAAAAAGAGTGTTTCAAAACTGCTCTATGAAAAGAAAGGTTCAACTCTGTCAGTAGAGGGCACACATCACAAACAAGTTTCTGAGAATGCTTGTGTCTAGTTGTTATGGGAAGATATTTCCTTTTTCAACATAGGCCTGAAAGCGCTCCAAATGTCCACTTCCAGATACTACAAAAGGAGTGATTCCAACCTGCTCTATGATAGGGAATGTTCATCTCTGTGTCCTGAATACAAACATCACAAAGATGTTTCTCAGAACGCTGCAGTCTGCAATTTGGATGAATTCCCGCTTCCAACGAAATCCTCAAAACTAGCCAAATATCCACTTGGAGATTCCACAAAAAGAGCGTTTCAAAACTTCTCTATGAATAGAAAGGTTCTACTCCTTTAGTTGAGGACACACATCACGAGTAAGTTTCTGAGAATGCTTCTGTCTAGTTTTTATGGGAAGATATGTCCTTTTTCACCTTAGGCCGGAAAGCGCTCCAAATGTCCACTTACACACACTACAAAAAGAGTGTTTCAAACCTGCTCTGTGAAAGGGAATGTTCAATTCTGTGACTTGAATGCAATCATCACAAAGAACTTTCTGAGAATGCTGCTGACTGCTTTTTATATGTAATCCCGTTTCCAACGAAATCCTCAAATCTAGCCCAATATCCACTTGCAGATTCCACAAAAAGAGTGTTTCAAAACTGTTCTGTCTAAAGAAATGTACAACTGTGTTAGTTGAGGACACACATCAGAAACTAGTTTCTGAGAATGCTTCTGTCTAGTTGTTATGGGAAGATATTTCCTTTTCCAACGTAGGCCTGAAGCGCTCCAAATGTCCACTTCCATATACTAAAAAAAGAGTGTTTCAAACCTGCTCTACCAAAGGGAATGTTCTACTCTGTGACTTGAATGCAAACATCCCAAAGAAGTTTCTGAGAATGCTTCTGTCTAGATTTTCTCTGAAGACAATCCCGTTTCCAACGAAATCCTCAAGGCTAGGCAAATATACTCTTGCAGATTCCAGAAAAAGAGTGTTTCAAAACTGTTCCTTCAAAACGGTGGTTCAATTCTCTTAGTTGAGTACACACATCTCAAATAAGTTTCTGAGAATGCTTCTGCCTAGTTGTTACGGGAAGATATTTCCCTTTCCAACATGGGCCTGAAAGCGCTCCAAATGTCCACTTCCAGATACTACAAAAAGAGTGTTTCAAACCTGCTCTACCAAAGGGAATGTTCTACTCTGTGACTTGAATGCAAACATCCCAAAGAAGTTTCTGAGAATGCTTCTGTCTAGATTTTACCTGAAGACAATCCCGTTTCCCACGAAATCCTCAAAGCTATGCAAATATCCTCTTGCAGATTCTACAAAAAGAGTGTTTCAAAACTGCTCTATGAAAAGAAAGGTTCAACTCTGTCAGTAGAGGGCACACATCACAAACAAGTTTCTGAGAATGCTTGTGTCTAGTTGTTATGGGAAGATATTTCCTTTTTCAACATAGGCCAGAAAGCGCTCCAAATGTCCACTTCCAGATACTACAAAAGGAGTGATTCCAACCTGCTCTATGATAGGGAATGTTCAACTCTCTGTCCTGAATACAAACATCACAAAGATGTTTCTCAGAACGCTGCAGTCTGCAATTTGTATGAATTCCCGCTTCCAACGAAATCCTCAAAACTAGCCAAATATCCACTTGCAGATTCCACAAAAAGAGCATTTCAAAACTGCTCTATCAAAAGAAAGGTTCAACTTTGTTAGTTGAGTAGATACAGCATAAACAAGTTTCTGAGAATGCTTCTGTCCAGTTTTTATGGGAAGATATTTCCTTTTTCACCTTAGCCCTGAAAGCGCTCCAAAAGTCCAGTTCCAGATACTACAAAAGGAGTGTTTCAGGACTGCTCTATGAAAGGGAGTGTTCAACTTTTGACTTGAATGCAAACATCAGAAAGCAGTTTCTCAGAACGCTGCTGTGTGCTTTTTATATGTATTCCCGCTTCCAGCGAAATCCCCAAAGCTAGCCAAATATCCACTTGCAGATTCCAGAAAAAGAGTGTTTCAAAACTGCTCCTTCAAAACGGTGATTCAATTCTCTTAGTTGAGTACACACATCTCAAATAAGTTTCTGAGAATGCTTCTGTCTAGTTGTTATGGGAAGATATTTCCTTTTCCAACATAGGCCTGAAAGCGCTCCAAATGTCCACTTCCAGATACTACAAAAGGAGTGATTCAAACCTGCTCTATGATAGGGAATGTTCAACTCTGTGTCCTGAATACAAACATCACAAAGATGTTTCTCAGAACGCTGCAGTCTGCAATTTGTATGAATTCCCGCTTCCAACGAAATCCTCAAAACTAGCCAAATATCCACTTGCAGATTCCACAAAAAGAGCGTTTCAAAACTTCTCTATGAAAAGAAAGGTTCTACTCCTTTAGTTGAGGACACACATCACGAGTAAGTTTCTGAGAATGCTTCTGTCTAGTTTTTATGGGAAGATATTTCCTTTTTCACCTTAGGCCGGTAAGTGCTCCAAATGTCCACTTACACACACTACAAAAAGAGTGTTTCAAACCTGCTCTGTGAAAGGGAATGTTCAATTCTGTGACTTGAATGCAATCATCACAAAGAACTTTCTGAGAATGCTGCTGACTGCTTTTTATATGTAATCCCGTTTCTAACGAAATCCTCAAATCTAGCCAAATAGCCACTTGCAGATTCCACAAAAAGAGTGTTTCAAAACTGTTCTGTCTAAAGAAATGTTCAACTGTGTTAGTTGAGGACACACATCAGAAACTAGTTTCTGAGAATGCTTCTGTCTAGTTGTTATGGGAAGATATTTCCTTTTCCAACGTAGGCCTGAAAGCGATCAAAATGTCCACTTCCATATACTAAAAAAAGAGTGTTTCAAACCTGCTCTACCAAAGGGAATGTTCTACTCTGTGACTTGAATGCAAACATCCCAAAGAAGTTTCTGAGAATGCTTCTGTCTAGATTTTCTCTGAAGACAATCCCGTTTCCAACGAAATCCTCAAGGCTAGGCAAATATACTCTTGCAGATTCCAGAAAAAGAGTGTTTCAAAACTGCTCCTTCAAAACGGTGGTTCAATTCTCTTAGTTGAGTACACACATCTCAAATAAGTTTCTGAGAATGCTTCTGCCTAGTTGTTACGGGAAGATATTTCCTTTTCCAACATGGGCCTGAAAGCGCTCCAAATGTCCACTTCCAGATACTACAAAAAGAGTGTTTCAAACCTGCTCTACCAAAGGGAATGTTCTACTCTGTGACTTGAATGCAAACATCCCAAAGAAGTTTCTGAGAATGCTTCTGTCTAGATTTTACCTGAAGGACAATCCCGTTTCCCACGAAATCCTCAAAGCTATGCAAATATCCTCTTGCAGATTCTACAAAAAGAGTGTTTCAAAACTGCTCTAAGAAAAGAAAGGTTCAACTCTGTCAGTAGAGGGCACACATCACAAACAAGTTTCTGAGAATGCTTCTGCATAGTTGTTATGGGAAGATATTTCCCTGTCCAAAATAGGCCTGAAAGCGCTCCAAATGTCCACTTCCAGATACTACAAAAGGAGTGATTCCAACCTGCTCTATGATAGGGAATGTTCAACTCTGTGTCCTGAATACAAACATCACAAAGATGTTTCTCATAACGCTGCAGTCTGCAATTTGTATGAATTCCCGCTTCCAACGAAATCCTCAAAACTAGCCAAATATCCACTTGGAGATTCCACAAAAAGACCATTTCAAAACTGCTCTATCAAAAGAAAGGTTCAACTTTGTTAGTTGAGTAGATACAGCATAAACAAGTTTCTGAGAATGCTTCTGTCCAGTTTTTATGGGAAGATATTTCCTTTTTCACCTTAGCCCTGAAATCGCTCCAAAAGTCCAGTTCCAGATACTACAAAAGGGGTGTTTCAAGACTGCTCTATGAAAGGGAGTGTTCAACTTTTGACTTGAATGCAAACATCAGAAAGCAGTTTCTCAGAACGCTGCTGTGTGTTTTTTATATGTATTCCCGCTTCCAGCGAAATCCCCAAAGCTAGCCAAATATCCACTTGCAGATTCCAGAAAAAGAGCGTTTCAAAACTGCTCCTTGAAAACGGTGGTTCAATTCTCTTAGTTGAGTACACCCATCTCAAATAACTTTCTGAGAATGCTTCTGTCCAGTTTTTATGGGAAGATATTTCCTTTTTCACCTTAGCCCTGAAATCGCTCCAAAAGTCCAGTTCCAGATACTACAAAAGGGGTGTTTCAGGACTGCCCTATGAAAGGGAGTGTTCAACTTTTGACTTGAATGCAAACATCAGAAAGCAGTTTCTCAGAACGCTGCTGTGTGCTTTTTATATGTATTCCCGCTTCCAGCGAAATCCCCAAAGCTAGCCAAATATCCACTTGCAGATTCCAGAAAAAGAGAGTTTCAAAACTGCTCCTTCAAAACGGTGGTTCAATTCTCTTAGTTGAGTACACACATCTCAAATAAGTTTCTGAGAATGCTTCTGTCTAGTTGTTATGGGAAGATATTTCCTTTTCCAACATAGGCCTGAAAGCGCTCCAAATGTCCACTTCCAGATACTACAAAAGGAGTGATTCAAACCTGCTCTATGATAGGGAATGTTCAACTCTGTGTCCTGAATACAAACATCACAAAGATGTTTCTCAGAACGCTGCAGTCTGCAATTTGTATGAATTCCCGCTTCCAACGAAATCCTCAAAACTAGCCAAATATCCACTTGCAGATTCCACAAAAAGAGCGTTTCAAAACTTCTCTATGAAAAGAAAGGTTCTACTCCTTTAGTTGAGGACACACATCACGAGTAAGTTTCTGAGAATGCTTCTGTCTAGTTCTTATGGGAAGATATGTCCTTTTTCACCTTAGGCCGGAAAGCGCTCCAAATGTCCACTTACACACACTACAAAAAGAGTGTTTCAAACCTGCTCTGGAAAGGGAATGTTCAATTCTGTGACTTGAATGCAATCATCACAAAGAACTTTCTGAGAATGCTGCTGACTGCTTTTTATATGTAATCCCGTTTCCAACGAAATCCTCAAATCTAGCCCAATATCCACTTGCAGATTCCACAAAAAGAGTGTTTCAAAACTGTTCTGTGTAAAGAAATGTACAACTGTGGTAGTTGAGGACACACATCAGAAACTAGTTTCTGAGAATGCTTCTGTCTAGTTGTTATGGGAAGATATTTCCTTTTCCAACGTAGGCCTGAAAGCGCTCCAAATGTCCACTTCCATATACTAAAAAAAGAGTGTTTCAAACCTGCTCTACCAAAGGGAATGTTCTACTCAGTGACTTGAATGCAAACATCCCAAAGAAGTTTCTGAGAATGCTTCTGTCTAGATTTTATCTGAAGACAATCCCGTTTCCAGCGAAATCCTCAAGGCTAGGCAAATATACTCTTGCAGATTCCAGAAAAAGAGGGTTTCAAAACTGCTCCTTCAAAACGGTGGTTCAATTCTCTTAGTTGAGTACACACATCTCAAATAAGTTTCTGAGAATGCTTCTGCCTAGTTGTTACGGGAAGATATTTCCCTTTCCAACATGGGCCTGAAAGCGCTCCAAATGTCCACTTCCAGATACTACAAAAAGAGTGTTTCAAACCTGCTCTACCAAAGGGAATGTTCTACTCTGTGACTTGAATGCAAACATCCCAAAGAAGTTTCTGAGAATGCTTCTGTCTAGATTTTACCTGAAGACAATCCCGTTTCCCACGAAATCCTCAAAGCTATCCAAATATCCTCTTGCGGATTCTATAAAAGAGTGTTTCAAAACTGCTCTATGAAAAGAAAGGTTCAACTCTGTCAGTAGAGGGCACACATCACAAACAAGTTTCTGAGAATGCTTGTGTCTAGTTGTTATGGGAAGATATTTCCTTTTTCAACATAGGCCTGAAAGCGCTCCAAATGTCCACTTCCAGATACTACAAAAGGAGTGATTCCAATCTGCTCTATGATAGGGAATGTTCATCTCTGTGTCCTGAATACAAACATCACAAAGATGTTTCTCAGAACGCTGCAGTCTGCAATTTGTATGAATTCCCGCTTCCAACGAAATCCTCAAAACTAGCCAAATATCCACTTGGAGATTCCACAAAAAGAGCGTTTCAAAACTTCTCTATGAATAGAAAGGTTCTACTCCTTTAGTTGAGGACACACATCACGAGTAAGTTTCTGAGAATGCTTCTGTCTAGTTTTTATGGGAAGATATTTCCTTTTTCACCTTAGGCCGGAAAGCGCTCCAAATGTCCACTTACACACACTACAAAAAGAGTGTTTCAAACCTGCTCTGTGAAAGGGAATGTTCAATTCTGTGACTTGAATGCAATCATCACAAAGAACTTTCTGAGAATGCTGCTGTCTGCTTTTTATATGTAATCCCGTTTCCAACGAAATCCTCAAATCTAGCCCAATATCCACTTGCAGATTCCACAAAAAGAGTGTTTCAAAACTGTTCTGTCTAAAGAAAAGTTCAACTGTGTTAGTTGAGGACACACATCAGAAACTAGTTTCTGAGAATGCTTCTGTCTAGTTGTTATGGGAAGAGATTTCCTTTTCCAACGTAGGCCTGAAAGCGCTCCAAATGTCCTTCCATATACTACAAAAAGAGTGTTTCAAACCTGCTCTACCAAAGGGAATGTTCTACTCTGTGACTTGAATGCAAACATCCCAAAGAAGTTTCTGAGAATGCTTCTGTCTAGATTTTATCTGAAGACAATCCCGTTTCCAACGAAATCCTCAAGGCTAGGCAAATATACTCTTGCAGATTCCAGAAAAAGAGTGTTTCAAAACTGCTCCTTCAAAACGGTGGTTCAATTCTCTTAGTTGAGTACACACATCTCAAATAAGTTTCTGAGAATGCTTCTGCCTAGTTGTTACGGGAAGATATTTCCCTTTCCAACATGGGCCTGAAAGCGCTCCAAATGTCCACTTCCAGATACTACAAAAAGAGTGTTTCAAACCTGCTCTACCAAAGGGAATGTTCTACTCTGTGACTTGAATGCAAACATCCCAAAGAAGTTTCTGAGAATGCTTCTGTCTAGATTTTACCTGAAGACAATCCAGTTTCCCACGAAATCCTCAAAGCTATGCAAATATCCTCTTGCAGATTCTACAAAAAGAGTGTTTCAAAACTGCTCTATGAAAAGAAAGGTTCAAATCTGTCAGTAGAGGGCACACATCACAAACAAGTTTCTGAGAATGCTTCTGCATAGTTGTTACGGGAAGATATTTCCCTTTCCAAAATAGGCCTGAAAGCGCTCCAAATGTCCACTTCCAGATACTACAAAAGGAGTGATTCCAACCTGCTCTATGATAGGGAATGTTCAACTCTGTGTCCTGAATACAAACATCACAAAGATGTTTCTCAGAACGCTGCAGTCTGCAATTTGTATGAATTCCCGCTTCCAACGAAATCCTCAAAACTAGCCAAATATCCACTTGCAGATTCCACAAAAAGACCATTTCAAAACTGCTCTATCAAAAGAAAGGTTCAAATTTGTTAGTTGAGTAGATACAGCATAAACAAGTTTCTCAGAATGCTTCTGTCCAGTTTTTATGGGAAGATATTTTCTTTTTCACCTTAGCCCTGAAAGCGCCCGAAATGTCCAGTTCCAGATACTACAAAAGGAGTGTTTCAAGACTGCTCTATGAAAGGGAGTGTTCAAATTTGACTTGAATGCAAACATCAGAAAGCAGTTTCTCAGAACGCTGCTGTGTGCTTTTTATATGTATTCCCGCTTCCAGCGAAATCCCCAAAGCTAGCCAAATATCCACTTGCAGATTCCAGAAAAAGAGTGTTTCAAAACTGCTCCTTCAAAACGGTGGTTCAATTCTCTTAGTTGAGTACACACATCTCAAATAAGTTTCTGAGAATGCTTCTGTCTAGTTGTTATGGGAAGATATTTCCTTTTCCAACATAGGCCTGAAAGCGCTCCAAATGTCCACTTCCAGATACTACAAAAGGAGTGATTCCAACCTGCTCTATGATAGGGAATGTTCAACTCTGTGTCCTGAATACAAACATCACAAAGATGTTTCTCAGAACGCTGCAGTCTGCAATTTGTATGAATTCCCGCTTCCAACGAAATCCTCAAAACTAGCCAAATATCCACTTGCAGATTCCACAAAAAGAGCGTTTCAAAACTTCTCTATGAAAAGAAAGGTTCTACTCCTTTAGTTGAGGACACACATCACGAGTAAGTTTCTGAGAATGCTTCTGTCTAGTTTTTATGGGAAGATATTTCCTTTTTCACCTTAGGCCGGTAAGTGCTCCAAATGTCCACTTACACACACTACAAAAAGAGTGTTTCAAACCTGCTCTGTGAAAGGGAATGTTCAATTCTGTGACTTGAATGCAATCATCACAAAGAACTTTCTGAGAATGCTGCTGACTGCTTTTTATATGTAATCCCGTTTCCAACGAAATCCTCAAATCTAGCCAAATAGCCACTTGCAGATTCCACAAAAAGAGTGTTTCAAAACTGTTCTGTCTAAAGAAATGTTCAACTGTGTTAGTTGAGGACACACATCAGAAACTAGTTTCTGAGAATGCTTCTGTCTAGTTGTTATGGGAAGATATTTCCTTTTCCAACGTAGGCCTGAAAGCGCTCCAAATGTCCACTTCCAGATACTACAAAAAGAGTGTTTCAAACCTGCTCTACCAAAGGGAATGTTCTACTCTGTGACTTGAATGCAAACATCCCAAAGAAGTTTCTGAGAATGCTTCTGTCTAGATTTTACCTGAAGACAATCCCGTTTCCCACGAAATCCTCAAAGCTATGCAAATATCCTCTTGCAGATTCTACAAAAAGAGTGTTTCAAAACTGCTCTATGAAAAGAAAGGTTCAACTCTGTCAGTAGAGGGCACACATCACAAACAAGTTTCTGAGAATGCTTCTGCATAGTTGTTACGGGAAGATATTTCCCTTTCCAAAATAGGCCTGAAAGCGCTCCAAATGTCCACTTCCAGATACTACAAAAGGAGTGATTCCAACCTGCTCTATGATAGGGAATGTTCAACTCTGTGTCCTGAATACAAACATCACAAAGATGTTTCTCAGAACGCTGCAGTCTGCAATTTGTATGAATTCCCGCTTCCAACGAAATCCTCAAAACTAGCCAAATATCCACTTGCAGATTCCACAAAAAGACCATTTCAAAACTGCTCTATCAAAAGAAAGGTTCAACTTTGTTAGTTGAGTAGATACAGCATAAACAAGTTTCTGAGAATGCTTCTGTCCAGTTTTTATGGGAAGATATTTCCTTTTTCACCTTAGCCCTGAAATCGCTCCAAAAGTCCAGTTCCAGATACTACAAAAGGGGTGTTTCAAGACTGCTCTATGAAAGGGAGTGTTCAACTTTTGACTTGAATGCAAACATCAGAAAGCAGTTTCTCAGAACGCTGCTGTGTGCTTTTTATATGTATTCCCGCTTCCAGCGAAATCCCCAAAGCTAGCCAAATATCCACTTGCAGATTCCAGAAAAAGAGTGTTTCAAAACTGCTCCTTCAAAACGGTGGTTCAATTCTCTTAGTTGAGTACACACATCTCAAATAAGTTTCTGAGAATGCTTCTGTCTAGTTGTTATGGGAAGATATTTCCTTTTCCAACATAGGCCTGAAAGCGCTCCAAATGTCCACTTCCAGATACTACAAAAGGAGTGATTCAAACCTGCTCTATGATAGGGAATGTTCAACTCTGTGTCCTGAATACAAACATCACAAAGATGTTTCTCAGAACGCTGCAGTCTGCAATTTGTATGAATTCCCGCTTCCAACGAAATCCTCAAAACTAGCCAAATATCCACTTGCAGATTCCACAAAAAGAGCGTTTCAAAACTTCTCTATGAAAAGAAAGGTTCTACTCCTTTAGTTGAGGACACACATCACGAGTAAGTTTCTGAGAATGCTTCTGTCTAGTTTTTATGGGAAGATATTTCCTTTTTCACCTTAGGCCGGTAAGTGCTCCAAATGTCCACTTACACACACTACAAAAAGAGTGTTTCAAACCTGCTCTGTGAAAGGGAATGTTCAATTCTGTGACTTGAATGCAATCATCACAAAGAACTTTCTGAGAATGCTGCTGACTGCTTTTTATATGTAATCCCGTTTCCAACGAAATCCTCAAATCTAGCCAAATAGCCACTTGCAGATTCCACAAAAAGAGTGTTTCAAAACTGTTCTGTCTAAAGAAATGTTCAACTGTGTTAGTTGAGGACACACATCAGAAACTAGTTTCTGAGAATGCTTCTGTCTATTTGTTATGGGAAGATATTTCCTTTTCCAACGTAGGCCTGAAAGCGCTCCAAATGTCCACTTCCATATACTAAAAAAAGAGTGTTTCAAACCTGCTCTACCAAAGGGAATGTTGCTACTCTGTGACTTGAATGCAAACATCCCAAAGAAGTTTCTGAGAATGCTTTCTGTCTAGATTTGATCTGAACACAATCCCGTTTCCAACGAAATCCTCAAAGCTAGGCAAATATCCTCTTGCAGATTCCAGAAAAAGAGTGTTTCAAAACTGCTCCTTCAAAACGGTGGTTCAATTCTCTTAGTTTAGTACACACATCTCAAATAAGTTTCTGAGAATGCTTCTGCCTAGTTGTTACCGGAAGATATTTCCCTTTCCAACATAGGCCTGAAAGCGCTCCAAATGTCCACTTCCATATACTAAAAAAAGAGTGTTTCACACCTGCTCTACCAAAGGGAATGTTCTACTCTGTGACTTGAATGCAAACATCCCAAAGAAGTTTCTGAGAATGCTTCTGTCTAGATTTTACCTGAAGACAATCCCGTTTCCCACGAAATCCTCAAAGCTATGCAAATATCCTCTTGCAGATTCTACAAAAAGAGTGTTTCAAAACTGCTCTATGAAAAGAAAGGTTCAACTCTGTCAGTAGAGGGCACACATCACAAACAAGTTTCTGAGAATGCTTGTGTCTAGTTGTTATGGGAAGATATTTCCTTTTTCAACATAGGCCAGAAAGCGCTCCAAATGTCCACTTCCAGATACTACAAAAGGAGTGATTCCAACCTGCTCTATGATAGGGAATGTTCAACTCTGTGTCCTGAATACAAACATCACAAAGATGTTTCTCAGAACGCTGCAGTCTGCAATTTGTATGTATTCCAGCTTCCAACGAAATCCTCAAATCTAGCCAAATATCCAATTGCAGATTCCACAAAAAGAGCATTTCAAAACTGCTCTATCAAAAGAAAGGTTCAACTTTTTTAGTAGAGTAGATACAGCATAAACAAGTTTCTGAGAATGCTTCTGTCCAGTTTTTATGGGAAGATATTTCCTTTTTCACCTTAGCCCTGAAAGCGCTCCAAAAGTCCAGTTCCAGATACTACAAAAGGAGTGTTTCAGGACTGCTCTATGAAAGGGAGTGTTCAACTTTTGACTTGAATGCAAACATCAGAAAGCAGTTTCTCAGAACGCTGCTGTGTGCTTTTTATATGTATTCCCGCTTCCAGCGAAATCCCCAAAGCTAGCCAAATATCCACTTGCAGATTCCAGAAAAAGAGTGTTTCAAAACTGCTCCTTCAAAACGGTGGTTCAATTCTCTTAGTTGAGTACACACATCTCAAATAAGTTTCTGAGAATGCTTCTGTCTAGTTGTTATGGGAAGATATTTCCTTTTCCAAAATAGGCCTGAAAGCGCTCCAAATGTCCACTTCCAGATACTACAAAAGGAGTGATTCCAACCTGCTCTATGATAGGGAATGTTCAACTCTGTGTCCTGAATACAAACATCACAAAGATGTTTCTCAGAACGCTGCAGTCTGCAATTTGTATGAATTCCCGCTTCCAACGAAATCCTCCAAACTAGCCAAATATCCACTTGCAGATTCCACAAAAAGAGCGTTTCAAAACTTCTCTATGAAAACAAAGGTTCTACTCCTTTAGTTGAGGACACACATCACGAGTAAGTTTCTGAGAATGCTTCTGTCTAGTTTTTATGGGAAGATATTTCCTTTTTCACCTTAGGCCGGAAAGTGCTCCAAATGTCCACTTACACACACTATAAAAAGAGTGTTTCAAACCTGCTCTGTGAAAGGGAATGTTCAATTCTGTGACTTGAATGCAATCATCACAAAGAACTTTCTGAGAATGCTGCTGTCTGCTTTTTATATGTAATCCCGTTTCCAACGAAATCCTCAAATCTAGCCAAATAGCCACTTGCAGATTCCACAAAAAGAGAGTTTCAAAACTGTTCTGTCTAAAGAAATGTTCAACTGTGTTAGTTGAGGACACACATCAGAAACTAGTTTCTGAGAATGCTTCTGTCTAGTTGTTATGGGAAGATATTTCCTTTTCCAACGTAGGCCTGAAAGCGCTCCAAATGTCCACTTCCATATACTAAAAAAAGAGTGTTTCAAACCTGCTCTACCAAAGGGAATGTTCTACTCTGTGACTTGAATGCAAACATCCCAAAGAAGTTTCTGAGAATGCTTCTGTCTAGATTTTATGTGAAGACAATCCCGTTTCCAACGAAATCCTCAAGGCTAGGCAAATATACTCTTGCAGATTCCAGAAAAAGAGTGTTTCAAAACTGCTCCTTCAAAACGGTGGTTCAAATCTCTTCGTTGAGTCCACACATCTCAAATACGTTTCTGAGAATGCTTCTGCCTAGTTGTTACGGGAAGATATTTCCCTTTCCAACATGGGCCTGAAAGCGCTCCAAATGTCCACTTCCAGATACTACAAAAAGAGTGTTTCAAACCTACTCTACCAAAGGGAATGTTCTACTCTGTGACTTGAATGCAAACATCCCAAAGAAGTTTCTGAGAATGCTTCTGTCTAGATTTTACCTGAAGACAATCCCGTTTCCCACGAAATCCTCAAAGCTATGCAAATATCCTCTTGCAGATTCTACAAAAAGAGTGTTTCAAAACTGCTCTATGAAAAGAAAGGTTCAACTCTGTCAGTAGAGGGCACACATCACAAACAAGTTTCTGAGAATGCTTGTGTCTAGTTGTTATGGGAAGATATTTCCTTTTTCAACATAGGCCTGAAAGCGCTCCAAATGTCCACTTCCAGATACTACAAAAGGAGTGATTCCAACCTGCTCTATGATAGGGAATGTTCATCTCTGTGTCCTGAATACAAACATCACAAAGATGTTTCTCAGAACGCTGCAGTCTGCAATTTGTATGAATTCCCGCTTCCAACGAAATCCTCAACACTAGCCAAATATCCACTTGGAGATTCCACAAAAAGAGCGTTTCAAAACTTCTCTATGAATAGAAAGGTTCTACTCCTTTAGTTGAGGACACACATCACGAGTAAGTTTCTGAGAATGCTTCTGTCTAGTTTTTATGGGAAGATATGTCCTTTTTCACCTTAGGCCGGAAAGCGCTCCAAATGTCCACTTACACACACTACAAAAAGAGTGTTTCAAACCTGCTCTGTGAAAGGGAATGTTCAATTCTGTGACTTGAATGCAATCATCACAAAGAACTTTCTGAGAATGCTGCTGTCTGCTTTTTATATGTAATCCCGTTTCCAACGAAATCCTCAAATCTAGCCCAATATCCACTTGCAGATTCCACAAAAAGAGTGTTTCAAAACTGTTCTGTATAAAGAAATGTACAACTGTGTTAGTTGAGGACACACATCAGAAACTAGTTTCTGAGAATGCTTCTGTCTAGTTGTTATGGGAAGATATTTCCTTTTCCAACGTAGGCCTGAAAGCGCTCCAAATGTCCACTTCCATATACTAAAAAAAGAGTGTTTCAAACCTGCTCTACCAAAGGGAATGTTCTACTCTGTGACTTGAATGCAAACATCCCAAAGAAGTTTCTGAGAATGCTTCTGTCTAGATTTTATCTGAAGACAATCCCGTTTCCAACGAAATCCTCAAGGCTAGGCAAATATACTCTTGCAGATTCCAGAAAAAGAGGGTTTCAAAACTGCTCCTTCAAAACGGTGGTTCAATTCTCTTAGTTGAGTACACACATCTCAAATAAGTTTCTGAGAATGCTTCTGCCTAGTTGTTACGGGAAGATATTTCCCTTTCCAACATGGGCCTGAAAGCGCTCCAAATGTCCACTTCCAGATACTACAAAAAGAGTGTTTCAAACCTGCTCTACCAAAGGGAATGTTCTACTCTGTGACTTGAATGCAAACATCCCAAAGAAGTTTCTGAGAATGCTTCTGTCTAGATTTTACCTGAAGACAATCCCGTTTCCCACGAAATCCTCAAAGCTATGCAAATATCCTCTTGCGGATTCTACAAAAAGAGTGTTTCAAAACTGCTCTATGAAAAGAAAGGTTCAACTCTGTCAGTAGAGGGCACACATCACAAACAAGTTTCTGAGAATGCTTGTGTCTAGTTGTTATGGGAAGATATTTCCTTTTTCAACATAGGCTGAAAGCGCTCCAAATGTCCACTTCCAGATACTACAAAAGGAGTGATTCCAACCTGCTCTATGATAGGGAATGTTCAACTCTCTGTCCTGAATACAAACATCACAAAGATGTTTCTCAGAACGCTGCAGTCTGCAATTTGTATGAATTCCCGCTTCCAGCGAAATCCTCAAAACTAGCCAAATATCCACTTGCAGATTCCACAAAAAGAGCATTTCAAAACTGCTCTATCAAAAGAAAGGTTCAACTTTGTTAGTTGAGTAGATACAGCATAAACAAGTTTCTGAGAATGCTTCTGTCCAGTTTTTATGGGAAGATATTTCCTTTTTCACCTTAGCCCTGAAAGCGCTCCAAAAGTCCAGTTCCAGATACTAAAAAAGGAGTGTTTCAGGACTGCTCTATGAAAGGGAGTGTTCAACTTTTGACTTGAATGCAAACATCAGAAAGCAGTTTCTCAGAACGCTGCTGTGTGATTTTTATATGTATTCCCGCCTCCAGCGAAATCCCCAAAGCTAGCCAAATATCCACTTGCAGATTCCAGAAAAAGAGTGTTTCAAAACTGCTCCTTCAAAACGGTGGTTCAATTCTCTTAGTTGAGTACACACATCTCAAATAAGTTTCTGAGAATGCTTCTGTCTAGTTGTTATGGGAAGATATTTCCTTTTCCAACATAGGCCTGAAAGCGCTCCAAATGTCCACTTCCAGATACTACAAAAGGAGTGATTCAAACCTGCTCTATGATAGGGAATGTTCAACTCTGTGTCCTGAATACAAACGTCACAAAGATGTTTCTCAGAACGCTGCAGTCTGCAATTTGTATGAATTCCCGCTTCCAACGAAATCCTCAAAACTAGCCAAATATCCACTTGCAGATTCCACAAAAAGAGCGTTTCAAAACTTCTCTATGAAAAGAAAGGTTCTACTCCTTTAGTTGAGGACACACATCACGAGTAAGTTTCTGAGAATGCTTCTGTCTAGTTTTTATGGGAAGATATTTCCTTTTTCACCTTAGGCCGGTAAGTGCTCCAAATGTCCACTTACACACACTACAAAAAGAGTCTTTCAAACCTGCTCTGTGAAAGGGAATGTTCAATTCTGTGACTTGAATGCAATCATCACAAAGAACTTTCTGAGAATGCTGCTGACTGCTTTTTATATGTAATCCCGTTTCCAACGAAATCCTCAAATCCAGCCAAATAGCCACTTGCAGATTCCACAAAAAGAGTGTTTCAAAACTGTTCTGTCTAAAGAAATGTTCAACTGTGTTAGTTGAGGACACACATCAGAAAGTAGTTTCTGAGAATGCTTCTGTCTAATTGTTATGGGAAGATATTTCCTTTTCCAACGTAGGCCTGAAAGCGCTCCAAATGTCCACTTCCATATACTAAAAAAAGAGTGTTTCAAACCTGCTCTACCAAAGGGAGTGTTCTACTCTGTGACTTGAATGCAAACATCCCAAAGAAGTTTCTGAGAATGCTTCTGTCTAGATTTTATCTGAAGACAATCCCGTTTCCAACCAAATCCTCAAGGCTAGGCAAATATACTCTTGCAGATTCCAGAAAAAGAGTGTTTCAAAACTGCTCCTTCAAAACGGTGGTTCAATTCTCTTAGTTGAGTACACACATCTCAAATAAGTTTCTGAGAATGCTTCTGCCTAGTTGTTACGGGAAGATATTTCCCTTTCCAACATGGGCCTGAAAGCGCTCCAAATGTCCACTTCCAGATACTACAAAAAGAGTGTTTCAAACCTGCTCTACCAAAGGGAATGTTCTACTCTGTGACTTGAATGCAAACATCCCAAAGAAGTTTCTGAGAATGCTTCTGTCTAGATTTTACCTGAAGACAATCCCGTTTCCCACGAAATCCTCAAAGCTATGCAAATATCCTCTTGCGGATTCTACAAAAAGAGTGTTTCAAAACTGCTCTATGAAAAGAAAGGTTCAACTCTGTCAGTAGAGGGCACACATCACAAACAAGTTTCTGAGAATGCTTGTGTCTAGTTGTTATGGGAAGATATTTCCTTTTTCAACATAGGCCTGAAAGCGCTCCAAATGTCCACTTCCAGATACTACAAAAGGAGTGATTCCAACCTGCTCTATGATAGGGAATGTTCATCTCTGTGTCCTGAATACAAACATCACAAAGATGTTTCTCAGAACGCTGCAGTCTGCAATTTGTATGAATTCCCGCTTCCAACGAAATCCTCAAAACTAGCCAAATATCCACTTGGAGATTCCACAAAAAGAGCGTTTCAAAACTTCTCTATGAATAGAAAGGTTCTACTCCTTTAGTTGAGGACACACATCACGAGTAAGTTTCTGAGAATGCTTCTGTCTAGTTTTTATGGGAAGATATTTCCTTTTTCACCTTAGGCCGGAAAGCGCTCCAACTGTCCACTTACACACACTACAAAAAGAGTGTTTCAAACCTGCTCTGTGAAAGGGAATGTTCAATTCTGTGACTTGAATGCAATCACCACAAAGAACTTTCTGAGAATGCTTGCTGTCTGCTTTTTATATGTAATCCCGTTTCCAACGAAATCCTCAAATCTAGCCAAATAGCCACTTGCAGATTCCACAAAAAGAGTGTTTCAAAACTGTTCTGTCTAAAGAAATGTTCAACTGTGTTAGTTGAGGACACACATCAGAAACTAGTTTCTGAGAATGCTTCTGTCTAGTTGTTATGGGAAGATATTTCCTTTTCCAACGTAGGCCTGAAAGCGATCCAAATGTCCACTTCCATATACTAAAAAAAGAGTGTTTCAAACCTGCTCTACCAAAGGGAATGTTCTACTCTGTGACTTGAATGCAAACATCCCAAAGAAGTTTCTGAGAATGCTTCTGTCTAGATTTTCTCTGAAGACAATCCCGTTTCCAACGAAATCCTCAAGGCTAGGCAAATATACTCTTGCAGATTCCAGAAAAAGAGTGTTTCAAAACTGCTCCTTCAAAACGGTGGTTCAATTCTCTTAGTTGAGTACACACATCTCAAATAAGTTTCTGAGAATGCTTCTGCCTAGTTGTTACGGGAAGATATTTCCCTTTCCAACATGGGCCTGAAAGCGCTCCAAATGTCCACTTCCAGATACTACAAAAAGAGTGTTTCAAACCTGCTCTACCAAAGGGAATGTTCTTACTCTGTGACTTGAATGCAAACATCCCAAAGAAGTTTCTGAGAATGCTTCTGTCTAGATTTTTCCTGAGACAATCCCGTTTCCCACGAAATCCTCAAAGCTATGCAAATATCCTCTTGCAGATTCTACAAAAAGAGTGTTTCAAAACTGCTCTATGAAAAGAAAGGTTCAACTCTGTCAGTAGAGGGCACACATCACAAACAAGTTTCTGAGAATGCTTGTGTCTAGTTGTTATGGGAAGATATTTCCTTTTTCAACATAGGCCAGAAAGCGCTCCAAATGTCCACTTCCAGATACTACAAAAGGAGTGATTCCAACCTGCTCTATGATAGGGAATGTTCAACTCTCTGTCCTGAATACAAACATCACAAAGATGTTTCTCAGAACGCTGCAGTCTGCAATTTGTATGAATTCCCGCTTCCAACGAAATCCTCAAAACTAGCCAAATATCCACTTGCAGATTCCACAAAAAGAGCATTTCAAAACTGCTCTATCAAAAGAAAGGTTCAACTTTGTTAGTTGAGTAGATACAGCATAAAAAAGTTTCTGAGAATGCTTCTGTCCAGTTTTTATGGGAAGATATTTCCTTTTTCACCTTAGCCCTGAAAGCGCTCCAAAAGTCCAGTTCCAGATACTACAAAAGGAGTGTTTCAGGACTGCTCTATGAAAGGGAGTGTTCAACTTTTGACTTGAATGCAAACATCAGAAAGCAGTTTCTCAGAACGCTGCTGTGTGCTTTTTATATGTATTCCCGCATCCAGCGAAATCCCCAAAGCTAGCCAAATATCCACTTGCAGATTCCAGAAAAAGAGTGTTTCAAAACTGCTCCTTCAAAACGGTGGTTCAATTCTCTTAGTTGAGTACACACATCTCAAATAAGTTTCTGAGAATGCTTGTGTCTAGTTGTTATGGGAAGATATTTCCTTTTTTAACATAGGCCTGAAAGCGCTCCAAATGTCCACTTCCAGATACTACAAAAGGAGTGATTCCAACCTGCTCTATGATAGGGAATGTTCAACTCTGTGTCCTGAATACAAACATCACAAAGATGTTTCTCAGAACGCTGCAGTCTGCAATTTGTATGAATTCCCGCTTCCAACGAAATCCTCAAAACTAGCCAAATATCCACTTGCAGATTCCACAAAAAGAGCATTTCAAAACTGCTCTATCAAAAGAAAGGTTCAACTTTGTTAGTTGAGTAGATACAGCATAAACAAGTTTCTGAGAATGCTTCTGTCCAGTTTTTATGGGAAGATATTTCCTTTTTCACCTTAGCCCTGAAAGCGCTCCAAAAGTCCAGTTCCAGATACTACAAAAGGAGTGTTTCAGGACTGCTCTATGAAAGGGAGTGTTCAACTTTTGACTTGAATGCAAACATCAGAAAGCAGTTTCTCAGAACGCTGCTGTGTGCTTTTTATATGTATTCCCGCTTCCAGCGAAATCCCCAAAGCTAGCCAAATATCCACTTGCAGATTCCAGAAAAAGAGTGTTTCAAAACTGCTCCTTCAAAACGGTGGTTCAATTCTCTTAGTTGAGTACACACATCTCAAATAAGTTTCTGAGAATGCTTCTGTCTAGTTGTTATGGGAAGATATTTCCTTTTTCAACATAGGCCTGAAAGCGCTCCAAATGTCCACTTCCAGATACTACAAAAGGAGTGATTCAAACCTGCTCTATGATAGGGAATGTTCAACTCTGTGTCCTGAATACAAACATCACAAAGATGTTTGTCAGAACGCTGCAGTCTGCAATTTGTATGAATTCCCGCTTCCAACGAAATCCTCAAAACTAGCCAAATATCCACTTGCAGATTCCACAAAAAGAGCGTTTCAAAACTTCTCTATGAAAAGAAAGGTTCTACTCCTTTAGTTGAGGACACACATCACGAGTAAGTTTCTGAGAATGCTTCTGTCTAGTTTTTATGGGAAGATATTTCCTTTTTCACCTTAGGCCGGTAAGTGCTCCAAATGTCCACTTACACACACTACAAAAAGAGTGTTTCAAACCTGCTCTGTGAAAGGGAATGTTCAATTCTGTGACTTGAATGCAATCATCACAAAGAACTTTCTGAGACTGCTGCTGTCTGCTTTGTATATGTAATCCCGTTTCCAACGAAATCCTCAAATCTAGCTAAATATCCACTTGCAGATTCCAGAAAAAGAGTGTTTCAAAACTCCTCCTTCAAAACGGTGGTTCAATTCTCTTAGTTGAATACACACATCTCAAATAAGTTTCTGAGAATGCTTCTGTCTAGTTGTTATGGGAAGATATTTCCTTTTCCAACGTAGGCCTGAAAGGGCTCCAAATGTCCACTTCCATATACTAAAAAAAGAGTGTTTCAAACCTGCTCTACCAAAGGGAATGTTCTACTCTGTGACTTGAATGCAAACATCCCAAAGAAGTTTCTGAGAATGCTTCTGTCTAGATTTGATCTGAAGACAATCCCGTTTCCAACGAAATCCTCAAGGCTAGGCAAATATCCTCTTGCAGATTCCAGAAAAAGAGTGTTTCAAAACTACTCCTTCAAAACGGTGGTTCAATTCTCTTAGTTGAGTACACACATCTCAAATAAGTTTCTGAGAATGCTTCTGCCTAGTTGTTACGGGAAGATATTTCCCTTTCCAACATAGGCCTGAAAGCGCTCCAAATGTCCACTTCCAGATACTACAAAAAGAGTGTTTCAAACCTGCTCTACCAAAGGGAATGTTCTGCTCTGTGACTTGAATGCAAACATCCCAAAGAAGTTTCTGAGAATGCTTCTGTCTAGATTTTACCTGAAGACAATCCCGTTTCCCACGAAATCCTCAAAGCTATGCAAATATCCTCTTGCAGATTCTACAAAAAGAGTGTTTCAAAACTGCTCTATGAAAAGAAAGGTTCAACTCTGTCAGTAGAGGGCACACATCACAAACAAGTTTCTGAGAATGCTTGTGTCTAGTTGTTATGGGAAGATATTTCCTTTTTCAACATAGGCCTGAAAGCGCTCCAAATGTCCACTTCCAGATACTACAAAAGGAGTGATTCCAACCTGCTCTATGATAGGGAATGTTCAACTCTCTGTCCTGAATACAAACATCACAAAGATGTTTCTCAGAACGCTGCAGTCTGCAATTTGTGTGAATTCCTGCTTCCAACGAAATCCTCAAACCTAGCCAAATATCCACTTGCAGATTCCACAAAAAGAGCATTTCAAAACTGCTCTATCAAAAGAAAGGTTCAACTTTGTTAGTTGAGTAGATACAGCATAAACAAGTTTCTGAGAATGCTTCTGTCCAGTTTTTATGGGAAGATATTTCCTTTTTCACCTTAGCCCTGAAAGCGCTCCAAATGTCCAGTTGCAGATACTACAAAAGGGGTGTTTCAAGACTGCTCTATGAAAGGGAGTGTTCAACTTTTGACTTGAATGGAAACATCAGAAAGCAGTTTCTCAGAACGCTGCTGTGTGCTTTTTATATGTATTCCCGCTTCCAGCGAAATCCCCAAAGCTAGCCAAATATCCACTTGCAGATTCCAGAAAAAGAGTGTTTCAAAACTGCTCCTTCAAAACGGTGGTTCAATTCTCTTAGTTGAGTACACACATCTCAAATAAGTTTCTGAGAATGCTTCTGTCTAGTTGTTATGGGAAGATATTTCCTTTTCCAACATAGGCCTGAAAGCGCTCCAAATGTCCACTTCCAGATACTACAAAAGGAGTGATTCCAACCTGCTCTATGATAGGGAATGTTCAACTCTGTGTCCTGAATACAAACATCACAAAGATGTTTCTCAGAACGCTGCAGTCTGCAATTTGTATGAATTCCCGCTTCCAACGAAATCCTCCAAACTAGCCAAATATCCACTTGCAGATTCCACAAAAAGAGCGTTTCAAAACTTCTCTATGAAAAGAAAGGTTCTACTCCTTTAGTTGAGGACACACATCACGAGTAAGTTTCTGAGAATGCTTCTGTCTAGTTTTTATGGGAAGATATTTCCTTTTTCACCTTAGGCCGGAAAGCGCTCCAAATGTCCACTTACACACACTACAAAAAGAGTGTTTCAAACCTGCTCTGTGAAAGGGAATGTTCAATTCTGTGACTTGAATGCAATCATCACAAAGAACTTTCTGAGAATGCTGCTGTCTGCTTTTTATATGTAATCCCGTTTCCAACGAAATCCTCAAATCTAGCCAAATATCCACTTGCAGATTCCACAAAAAGAGTGTTTCGAAACTGTTCTGTCTAAAGAAATGTACAACTGTGTTAGTTGAGGACACACATCAGAAACTAGTTTCTGAGAATGCTTCTGTCTAGTTGTTATGGGAAGATATTTCCTTTTCCAACGTAGGCCTGAAAGCGCTCCAAATGTCCACTTCCATATACTAAAAAAAGAGTGTTTCAAACCTGCTCTACCAAAGGGAATGTTCTACTCTGTGACTTGAATGCAAACATCTCAAAGAAGTTTCTGAGAATGCTTCTGTCTAGATTTGATCTGAAGACAATCCGGTTTCCAACGAAATCCTCAAGGCTAGGCAAATATCCTCTTGCAGATTCCAGAAAAAGAGTGTTTCAAAACTGCTCCTTCAAAACGGTGGTTCAATTCTCTTAGTTGAGTACACACATCTCAAATAAGTTTCTGAGAATGCTTCTGCCTAGTTGTTACGGGAAGATATTTCCCTTTCCAACATAGGCCTGAAAGCGCTCCAAATGTCCACTTCCAGATACTACAAAAAGAGTGTTTCAAACCTGCTCTACCAAAGGGAATGTTCTACTCTGTGACTTGAATGCAAACATCCCAAAGAAGTTTCTGAGAATGCTTCTGTCTAGATTTTACCTGAAGACAATCCCGTTTCCCACGAAATCCTCAAAGCTATGCAAATATCCTCTTGCAGATTCTACAAAAAGAGTGTTTCAAAACTGCTCTATGAAAAGAAAGGTTCAACTCTGTCAGTAGAGGGCACACATCACAAACAAGTTTCTGAGAATGCTTGTGTCTAGTTGTTATGGGAAGATATTTCCTTTTTCAACATAGGCCTGAAAGCGCTCCAAATGTCCACTTCCAGATACTACAAAAGGAGTGATTCCAACCTGCTCTATGATAGGGAATGTTCATCTCTGTGTCCTGAATACAAACATCACAAAGATGTTTCTCAGAACGCTTGCAGTCTGCAATTTGTATGAATTCCCGCTTCCAACGAAATCCTCAAAACTTGCCAAATATCCACTTGGAGATTCCACAAAAAGAGCGTTTCAAAACTTCTCTATGAATAGAAAGGTTCTACTCCTTTAGTTGAGGACACACATCACGAGTAAGTTTCTGAGAATGCTTCTGTCTAGTTTTTATGGGAAGATATTTCCTTTTTCACCTTAGGCCGGAAAGCGCTCCAAATGTCCACTTACACACACTACAAAAAGAGTGTTTCAAACCTGCTCTGTGAAAGGGAATGTTCAATTCTGTGACTTGAATGCAATCATCACAAAGAACTTTCTGAGAATGGTGCTGTCTGCTTTTTATATGTAATCCCGTTTCCAACGAAATCCTCAAATCTTGCCAAATAGCCACTTGCAGATTCCACAAAAAGAGTGTTTCAAAACTGTTCTGTCTAAAGAAATGTTCAACTGTGTTAGTTGAGGACACACATCAGAAACTAGTTTCTGAGAATGCTTCTGTCTAGTTGTTATGGGAAGATATTTCCTTTTCCAACGTAGGCCTGAAAGCGCTCCAAATGTCCACTTCCATATACTAAAAAAAGAGTGTTTCAAACCTGCTCTACCAAAGGGAATGTTCTACTCTGTGACTTGAATGCAAACATCCCAAAGAAGTTTCTGAGAATGCTTCTGTCTAGATTTTATCTGAAGACAATCCCGTTTCCAACGAAATCCTCAAGGCTAGGCAAATATACTCTTGCAGATTCCAGAAAAAGAGGGTTTCAAAACTGCTCTATGAAAAGAAAGGTTCAACTCTGTCAGTAGAGGGCACACATCACAAACAAGTTTCTGAGAACGCTTGTGTCTAGTTGTTATGGGAAGATATTTCCTTTTTCAACATAGGCCTGAAAGCGCTCCAAATGTCCACTTCCAGATACTACAAAAGGAGTGATTCCAACCTGCTCTATGATAGGGAATGTTCATCTCTGTGTCTTGAATACAAACATCACAAAGATGTTTCTCAGAACGCTGCAGTCTGCAATTTGTATGAATTCCCGCTTCCAACGAAATCCTCAAAACTAGCCAAATATCCACTTGGAGATTCCACAAAAAGAGCGTTTCAAAACTTCTCTATGAATAGAAAGGTTCTACTCCTTTAGTTGAGGACACACATCACGAGTAAGTTTCTGAGAATGCTTCTGTCTAGTTTTTATGGGAAGATATGTCCTTTTTCACCTTAGGCCGGAAAGCGCTCCAAATGTCCACTTACACACACTACAAAAAGAGTGTTTCAAACCTGCTCTGTGAAAGGGAATGTTCAATTCTGTGACTTGAATGCAATCATCACAAAGAACTTTCTGAGAATGCTGCTGTCTGCTTTTTATATGTAATCCCGTTTCCAACGAAATCCTCAAATCTAGCCCAATATCCACTTGCAGATTCCACAAAAAGAGTGTTTCAAAACTGTTCTGTATAAAGAAATGTACAACTGTGTTAGTTGAGGACACACATCAGAAACTAGTTTCTGAGAATGCTTCTGTCTAGTTGTTATGGGAAGATATTTCCTTTTCCAACGTAGGCCTGAAAGCGCTCCAAATGTCCACTTCCATATACTAAAAAAAGAGTGTTTCAAACCTGCTCTACCAAAGGGAATGTTCTACTCTGTGACTTGAATGCAAACATCCCAAAGAAGTTTCTGAGAATGCTTCTGTCTAGATTTTATCTGAAGACAATCCCGTTTCCAACGAAATCCTCAAGGCTAGGCAAATATACTCTTGCAGATTCCAGAAAAAGAGTGTTTCAAAACTGCTCCTTCAAAACGGTGGTTCAGTTCTCTTACTTGAGTACACACATCTCAAATAAGTTTCTGAGAATGCTTCTGCCTAGTTGTTACGGGAAGATATTTCCCTTTCCAACATGGGCCTGAAAGCGCTCCAAATGTCCACTTCCAGATACTACAAAAAGAGTGTTTCAAACCTGCTCTACCAAAGGGAATGTTCTACTCTGTGACTTGAATGCAAACATCCCAAAGAAGTTTCTGAGAATGCTTCTGTCTAGATTTTACCTGAAGACAATCCCGTTTCCCACGAAATCCTCAAAGCTATGCAAATATCCTCTTGCAGATTCTACAAAAAGAGTGTTTCAAAACTGCTCTATGAAAAGAAAGGTTCAACTCTGTCAGTAGAGGGCACACATCACAAACAAGTTTCTGAGAATGCTTGTGTCTAGTTGTTATGGGAAGATATTTCCTTTTTCAACATAGGCCTGAAAGCGCTCCAAATGTCCACTTCCAGATACTACAAAAGGAGTGATTCCAACCTGCTCTATGATAGGGAATGTTCATCTCTGTGTCCTGAATACAAACATCACAAAGATGTTTCTCAGAACTGCTGCAGTCTGCAATTTGTATGAATTCCCGCTTCCAACGAAATCCTCAAAACTAGCCAAATATCCACTTGCAGATTCCACAAAAAGACCATTTCAAAACTGCTCTATCAAAAGAAAGGTTCAACTTTGCTGGTTGAGTAGATACAGCATAAACAAGTTTCTGAGAATGCTTCTGTCCAGTTTTTATGGGAAGATATTTCCTTTTTCACCTTAGCCCTGAAATCGCTCCAAAAGTCCAGTTCCAGATACTACAAAAGGGGTGTTTCAAGACTGCTCTATGAAAGGGAGTGTTCAACTTTTGACTTGAATGCAAACATCAGAAAGCAGTTTCTCAGAACGCTGCTGTGTGCTTTTTATATGTATTCCCGCTTCCAGCGAAATCCCCAAAGCTAGCCAAATATCCACTTGCAGATTCCAGAAAAAGAGAGTTTCAAAACTGCTCCTTCAAAACGGTGGTTCAATTCTCTTAGTTGAGTACACACATCTCAAATAAGTTTCTGAGAATGCTTCTGTCTAGTTGTTATGGGAAGATATTTCCTTTTCCAACATAGGCCTGAAAGCGCTCCAAATGTCCACTTCCAGATACTACAAAAGGAGTGATTCCAACCTGCTCTATGATAGGGAATGTTCAACTCTGTGTCCTGAATACAAACATCACAAAGATGTTTCTCAGAACGCTGCAGTCTGCAATTTGTATGAATTCCCGCTTCCAACGAAATCCTCAAAACTAGCCAAATATCCACTTGCAGATTCCACAAAAAGACCATTTCAAAACTGCTCTATCAAAAGAAAGGTTCAACTTTGTTAGTTGAGTAGATACAGCATAAACAAGTTTCTGAGAATGCTTCTGTCCAGTTTTTATGGGAAGATATTTCCTTTTTCACCTTAGCCCTGAAATCGCTCCAAAAGTCCAGTTCCAGATACTACAAAAGGGGTGTTTCAAGACTGCTCTATGAAAGGGAGTGTTCAACTTTTGACTTGAATGCAAACATCAGAAAGCAGTTTCTCAGAACGCTGCTGTGTGCTTTTTATATGTATTCCCGCTTCCAGCGAAATCCCCAAAGCTAGCCAAATATCCACTTGCAGATTCCAGAAAAAGAGAGTTTCAAAACTGCTCCTTCAAAACGGTGGTTCAATTCTCTTAGTTGAGTACACACATCTCAAATAAGTTTCTGAGAATGCTTCTGTCTAGTTGTTATGGGAAGATATTTCCTTTTCCAACATAGGCCTGAAAGCGCTCCAAATGTCCACTTCCAGATACTACAAAAGGAGTGATTCAAACCTGCTCTATGATAGGGAATGTTCAACTCTGTGTCCTGAATACAAACATCACAAAGTTGTTTCTCAGAACGCTGCAGTCTGCAATTTGTATGAATTCCCGCTTCCAACGAAATCCTCAAAACTAGCCAAATATCCACTTGCAGATTCCACAAAAAGAGCGTTTCAAAACTTCTCTATGAAAAGAAAGGTTCTACTCCTTTAGTTGAGGACACACATCACGAGTAAGTTTCTGAGAATGCTTCTGTCTAGTTTTTATGGGAAGATTATTTCCTTTTTCACCTTAGGCCGGTAAGTGCTCCAAATGTCCACTTACACACACTACAAAAAGAGTGTTTCAAACCTGCTCTGTGAAAGGGAATGTTCAATTCTGTGACTTGAATGCAATCATCACAAAGAACTTTCTGAGAATGCTGCTGGCTGCTTTTTATATGTAATCCCGTTTCCAACGAAATCCTCAAATCTAGCCAAATAGCCACTTGCAGATTCCACAAAAAGAGTGTTTCAAAACTGTTCTGTCTAAAGAAATGTTCAACTCTGTTAGTTGAGGACACACATCAGAAACTAGTTTCTGAGAATGCTTCTGTCTAGTTGTTATGGGAAGATATTTCCTTTTCCAACGTAGGCCTGAAAGCGCTCCAAATGTCCACTTCCAGATACTACAAAAAGAGTGTTTCAAACCTGCTCTACCAAAGGGAATGTTCTACTCTGTGACTTGAATGCAAGCATCCCAAAGAAGTTTCTGAGAATGCTTCTGTCTAGATTTTCTCTGAAGACAATCCCGTTTCCAACGAAATCCTCAAGGCTAGGCAAATATACTCTTGCAGATTCCAGAAAAAGAGTGTTTCAAAACTGCGCCTTCAAAACGGTGGTTCAATTCTCTTAGTTGAGTACACACATCTCAAATAAGTTTCTGAGAATGCTTCTGCCTAGTTGTTACGGGAAGATATTTCCCTTTCCAACATGGGCCTGAAAGCGCTCCAAATGTCCACTTCCAGATACTACAAAAAGAGTGTTTCAAACCTGCTCTACCAAAGGGAATGTTCTACTCTGTGACTTGAATGCAAACATCCCAAAGAAGTTTCTAAGAATGCTTCTGTCTAGATTTTACCTGAAGACAATCCCGTTTCCCACGAAATCCTCAAAGCTATGCAAATATCCTCTTGCAGATTCTACAAAAAGAGTGTTTCAAAACTGCTCTATGAAAAGAAAGGTTCAACTCTGTCAGTAGAGGGCACACATCACAAACAAGTTTCTGAGAATGCTTCTGCATAGTTGTTACGGGAAGATATTTCCCTTTCCAAAATAGGCCTGAAAGCGCTCCAAATGTCCACTTCCAGATACTACAAAAGGAGTGATTCCAACCTGCTCTATGATAGGGAATGTTCAACTCTGTGTCCTGAATACAAACATCACAAAGATGTTTCTCAGAACGCTGCAGTCTGCAATTTGTATGAATTCCCGCTTCCAACGAAATCCTCAAAACTAGCCAAATATCCACTTGCAGATTCCACAAAAAGACCATTTCAAAACTGCTCTATCAAAAGAAAGGTTCAACTTTGTTAGTTGAGTAGATACAGCATAAACAAGTTTCTGAGAATGCTTCTGTCCAGTTTTTATGGGAAGATATTTCCTTTTTCACCTTAGCCCTGAAATCGCTCCAAAAGTCCAGTTCCAGATACTACAAAAGGGGTGTTTCAAGACTGCTCTATGAAAGGGAGTGTTCAACTTTTGACTTGAATGCAAACATCAGAAAGCAGTTTCTCAGAACGCTGCTGTGTGCTTTTTATATGTATTCCCGCTTCCAGCGAAATCCCCAAAGCTAGCCAAATATCCACTTGCAGATTCCAGAAAAAGAGTGTTTCAAAACTGCTCCTTCAAAACGGTGGTTCAATTCTCTTAGTTGAGTACACACATCTCAAATAAGTTTCTGAGAATGCTTCTGTCTAGTTGTTATGGGAAGATATTTCCTTTTCCAACATAGGCCTGAAAGCGCTCCAAATGTCCACTTCCAGATACTACAAAAGGAGTGATTCAAACCTGCTCTATGATAGGGAATGTTCAACTCTGTGTCCTGAATACAAACATCACAAAGATGTTTCTCAGAACGCTGCAGTCTGCAATTTGTATGAATTCCCGCTTCCAACGAAATCCTCAAAACTAGCCAAATATCCACTTGCAGATTCCACAAAAAGAGCGTTTCAAAACTTCTCTATGAAAAGAAAGGTTCTACTCCTTTAGTTGAGGACACACATCACGAGTAAGTTTCTGAGAATGCTTCTGTCTAGTTTTTATGGGAAGATATTTCCTTTTTCACCTTAGGCCGGAAAGTGCTCCAAATGTCCACTTACACACACTACAAAAAGAGTGTTTCAAACCTGCTCTGTGAAAGGGAATGTTCAATTCTGTGACTTGAATGCAATCATCACAAAGAACTTTCTGAGAATGCTGCTGACTGCTTTTTATATGTAATCCCGTTTCCAACGAAATCCTCAAATCTAGCCAAATAGCCACTTGCAGATTCCACAAAAAGAGTGTTTCAAAACTGTTCTGTCTAAAGAAATGTTCAACTGTGTTAGTTGAGGACACACATCAGAAACTAGTTTCTGAGAATGCTTCTGTCTAGTTGTTATGGGAAGATATTTCCTTTTCCAACGTAGGCCGGAAATCGCTCCAAATGTCCACTTCCATATACTAAAAAAAGAGTGTTTCAAACCTGCTCTACCAAAGGGAATGTTCTACTCTGTGACTTGAATGCAAACATCCCAAAGAAGTTTCTGAGAATGCTTCTGTCTAGATTTGATCTGAAGACAATCCCGTTTCCAACGAAATCCTCAAGGCTAGGCAAATATACTCTTGCAGATTCCAGAAAAAGAGTGTTTCAAAACTGCTCCTTCAAAACGGTGGTTCAATTCTCTTAGTTGAGTACACACATCTCAAATAAGTTTCTGAGAATGCTTCTGCCTAGTTGTTACGGGAAGATATTTCCCTTTCCAACATGGGCCTGAAAGCGCTCCAAATGTCCACTTCCAGATACTACAAAAAGAGTGTTTCAAACCTGCTCTACCAAAGGGAATGTTCTACTCTGTGACTTGAATGCAAACATCCCAAAGAAGTTTCTGAGAATGCTTCTGTCTAGATTTTACCTGAAGACAATCCCGTTTCCCACGAAATCCTCAAAGCTATGCAAATATCCTCTTGCAGATTCTACAAAAAGAGTGTTTCAAAACTGCTCTATGAAAAGAAAGGTTCAACTCTGTCAGTAGAGGGCACACATCACAAACAAGTTTCTGAGAATGCTTCTGCATAGTTGTTACGGGAAGATATTTCCCTTTCCAAAATAGGCCTGAAAGCGCTCCAAATGTCCACTTCCAGATACTACAAAAGGAGTGATTCCAACCTGCTCTATGATAGGGAATGTTCAACTCTGTGTCCTGAATACAAACATCACAAAGATGTTTCTCAGAACGCTGCAGTCTGCAATTTGTATGAATTCCCGCTTCCAACGAAATCCTCAAAACTAGCCAAATATCCACTTGCAGATTCCACAAAAAGACCATTTCAAAACTGCTCTATCAAAAGAAAGGTTCAACTTTGTTAGTTGAGTAGATACAGCATAACCAAGTTTCTGAGAATGCTTCTGTCCAGTTTTTATGGGAAGATATTTCCTTTTTCACCTTAGCCCTGAAATCGCTCCAAAAGTCCAGTTCCAGATACTACAAAAGGGGTGTTTCAAGACTGCTCTATGAAAGGGAGTGTTCAACTTTTGACTTGAATGCAAACATCAGAAAGCAGTTTCTCAGAACGCTGCTGTGTGCTTTTTATATGTATTCCCGCTTCCAGCGAAATCCCCAAAGCTAGCCAAATATCCACTTGCAGATTCCAGAAAAAGAGTGTTTCAAAACTGCTCCTTCAAAACGGTGGTTCAATTCTCTTAGTTGAGTACACACATCTCAAATAAGTTTCTGAGAATGCTTCTGTCTAGTTGTTATGGGAAGATATTTCCTTTTCCAACATAGGCCTGAAAGCGCTCCAAATGTCCACTTCCAGATACTACAAAAGGAGTGATTCAAACCTGCTCTATGATAGGGAATGTTCAACTCTGTGTCCTGAATACAAACATCACAAAGATGTTTCTCAGAACGCTGCAGTCTGCAATTTGTATGAATTCCCGCTTCCAACGAAATCCTCCAAACTAGCCAAATATCCACTTGCAGATTCCACAAAAAGAGCGTTTCAAAACTTCTCTATGAAAAGAAAGGTTCTACTCCTTTAGTTGAGGACACACATCACGAGTAAGTTTCTGAGAATGCTTCCTGTCTAGTTTTTATGGGAAGATATTTCCTTTTTCACCTTAGGCCGGTAAGTGCTCCAAATGTCCACTTACACACACTACAAAAAGAGTGTTTCAAACCTGCTCTGTGAAACGGAATGTTCAATTCTGTGACTTGAATGCAATCATCACAAAGAACTTTCTGAGAATGCTGCTGACTGCTTTTTATATGTAATCCCGTTTCCAACGAAATCCTCAAATCTAGCCAAATAGCCACTTGCAGATTCCACAAAAAGAGTGTTTCAAAACTGTTCTGTCTAAAGAAATGTTCAACTGTGTTAGTTGAGGACACACATCAGAAACTAGTTTCTGAGAATGCTTCTGTCTAGTTGTTATGGGAAGATATTTCCTTTTCCAACGTAGGCCTGAAAGCGCTCCAAATGTCCATTTCCAGATACTACAAAAAGAGTGTTTCAAACCTGCTCTACCAAAGGGAATGTTCTACTCTGTGACTTGAATGCAAACATCCCAAAGAAGTTTCTGAGAATGCTTCTGTCTAGATTTTCTCTGAAGACAATCCCGTTTCCAACGAAATCCTCAAGGCTAGGCAAATATACTCTTGCAGATTCCAGAAAAAGAGTGTTTCAAAACTGCTCCTTCAAAACGGTGGTTCAATTCTCTTAGTTGAGTACACACATCTCAAATAAGTTTCTGAGAATGCTTCTGCCTAGTTGTTACGGGAAGATATTTCCCTTTCCAACATGGGCCTGAAAGCGCTCCAAATGTCCACTTCCAGATACTACAAAAAGAGTGTTTCAAACCTGCTCTACCAAAGGGAATGTTCTACTCTGTGACTTGAATGCAAACATCCCAAAGAAGTTTCTGAGAATGCTTCTGTCTAGATTTTACCTGAAGACAATCCCGTTTCCCACGAAATCCTCAAAGCTATGCAAATATCCTCTTGCAGATTCTACAAAAAGAGTGTTTCAAAACTGCTCTATGAAAAGAAAGGTTCAACTCTGTCAGTAGAGGGCACACATCACAAACAAGTTTCTGAGAATGCTTCTGCATAGTTGTTACGGGAAGATATTTCCCTTTCCAAAATAGGCCTGAAAGCGCTCCAAATGTCCACTTCCAGATACTACAAAAGGAGTGATTCCAACCTGCTCTATGATAGGGAATGTTCAACTCTGTGTCCTGAATACAAACATCACAAAGATGTTTCTCAGAACGCTGCAGTCTGCAATTTGTATGAATTCCCGCTTCCAACGAAATCCTCAAAACTAGCCAAATATCCACTTGCAGATTCCACAAAAAGACCATTTCAAAACTGCTCTATCAAAAGAAAGGTTCAACTTTGTTAGTTGAGTAGATACAGCATAAACAAGTTTCTGAGAATGCTTCTGTCCAGTTTTTATGGGAAGATATTTCCTTTTTCACCTTAGCCCTGAAATCGCTCCAAAAGTCCAGTTCCAGATACTACAAAAGGGGTGTTTCAGGACTGCTCTATGAAAGGGAGTGTTCAACTTTTGACTTGAATGCAAACATCAGAAAGCAGTTTCTCAGAACGCTGCTGTGTGCTTTTTATATGTATTCCCGCTTCCAGCGAAATCCCCAAAGCTAGCCAAATATCCACTTGCAGATTCCAGAAAAAGAGAGTTTCAAAACTGCTCCTTCAAAACGGTGGTTCAATTCTCTTAGTTGAGTACACACATCTCAAATAAGTTTCTGAGAATGCTTCTGTCTAGTTGTTATGGGAAGATATTTCCTTTTCCAACATAGGCCTGAAAGCGCTCCAAATGTCCACTTCCAGATACTACAAAAGGAGTGATTCAAACCTGCTCTATGATAGGGAATGTTCAACTCTGTGTCCTGAATACAAACATCACAAAGATGTTTCTCAGAACGCTGCAGTCTGCAATTTGTATGAATTCCCGCTTCCAACGAAATCCTCAAAACTAGCCAAATATCCACTTGCAGATTCCACAAAAAGAGCGTTTCAAAACTTCTCTATGAAAAGAAAGGTTCTACTCCTTTAGTTGAGGACACACATCACGAGTAAGTTTCTGAGAATGCTTCTGTCTAGTTTTTATGGGAAGATATTTCCTTTTTCACCTTAGGCCGGAAAGTGCTCCAAAAGTCCACTTACACACACTACAAAAAGAGTGTTTCAAACCTGCTCTGTGAAAGGGAATGTTCAATTCTGTGACTTGAATGCAATCATCACAAAGAACGTTCTGAGAATGCTGCTGTCTGCTTTTTATATGTAATCCCGTTTCCAACGAAATCCTCAAATCTAGCCAAATAGCCACTTGCAGATTCCACAAAAAGAGAGTTTCAAAACTGTTCTGTCTAAAGAAATGTTCAACTGTGTTAGTTGAGGACACACATCAGAAACTAGTTTCTGAGAATGCTTCTGTCTAGTTGTTATGGGAAGATATTTCCTTTTCCAACGTAGGCCTGAAAGCGCTCCAAATGTCCACTTCCATATACTAAAAAAAGAGTGTTTCAAACCTGCTCTACCAAAGGGAATGTTCTACTCTGTGACTTGAATGCAAACATCCCAAAGAAGTTTCCTGAGAATGCTTCTGTCTAGATTTGATCTGAAGACAATCCCGTTTCCAACGAAATCCTCAAGGCTAGGCAAATATCCTCTTGCAGATTCCAGAAAAAGAGTGTTTCAAAACTGCTCCTTCAAAACGGTGGTTCAATTCTCTTAGTTGAGTACACACATCTCAAATAAGTTTCTGAGAATGCTTCTGCCCAGTTGTTACGGGAAGATATTTCCCTTTCCAACATAGGCCTGAAAGCGCTCCAAATGTCCACTTCCAGATACTACAAAAAGAGTGTTTCAAACCTGCTCTAGCAAAGGGAATGTTCTACTCTGTGACTTGAATGCAAACATCCCAAAGAAGTTTCTGAGAATGCTTCTGTCTAGATTTTACCTGAAGACAATCCCGTTTCCCACGAAATCCTCAAAGCTATGCAAATATCCTCTTGCAGATTCTACAAAAAGAGTGTTTCAAAACTGCTCTATGAAAAGAAAGGTTCAACTCTGTCACTAGAGGGCACACATCACAAACAAGTTTCTGAGAATGCTTGTGTCTAGTTGTTATGGGAAGATATTTCCTTTTTCAACATAGGCCTGAAAGCGCTCCAAATGTCCACTTCCAGATACTACAAAAGGAGTGATTCCAACCTGCTCTATGATAGGGAATGTTCAACTCTCTGTCCTGAATACAAACATCACAAAGATGTTTATCAGAACGCTGCAGTCTGCAATTTGTATGAATTCCAGCTTCCAACGAAATCCTCAAATCTAGCCAAATATCCACTTGCAGATTCCACAAAAAGAGCATTTCAAAACTGCTCTATCAAAAGAAAGGTTCAACTTTGTTAGTAGAGTAGATACAGCATAAACAAGTTTCTGAGAATGCTTCTGTCCAGTTTTTATGGGAAGATATTTCCTTTTTCACCTTAGCCCTGAAAGCGCTCCAAATGTCCAGTTCCAGATACTACAAAAGGAGTGTTTCAGGACTGCTCTATGAAAGGGAGTGTTCAACTTTTGACTTGAATGCAAACATCAGAAAGCAGTTTCTCAGAACGCTGCTGTGTGCTTTTTATATGTATTCCCGCTTCCAGCGAAATCCCCAAAGCTAGCCAAATATCCACTTGCAGATTCCAGAAAAAGAGTGTTTCAAAACTGCTCCTTCAAAACGGTGGTTCAATTCTCTTAGTTGAGTACACACATCTCAAATAAGTTTCTGAGAATGCTTCCTGTCTATTTGTTATGGGAAGATATTTCCTTTTCCAACATAGGGCCTGAAAGCGCTCCAAATGTCCACTTCCAGATACTACAAAAGGAGTGATTCAAACCTGCTCTATGATAGGGAATGTTCAACTCTGTGTCCTGAATACAAACATCACAAAGATGTTTCTCAGAACGCTGCAGTCTGCAATTTGTATCAATTCCCGCTTCCAACGAAATCCTCAAAACTAGCCAAATATCCACTTGCAGATTCCACAAAAAGAGCGTTTGAAAACTTCTCTATGAAAAGAAAGGTTCTACACCTTTAGTTGAGGACACACATCACGAGTAAGTTTCTGAGAATGCTTCTGTCTAGTTTTTATGGGAAGATATTTCCTTTTTCACCTTAGGCAGGAAAGTGCTCCAAATGTCCACTTACACACACTGCAAAAAGAGTGTTTCAAACCTGCTCTGTGAAAGGGAATGTTCAATTCTGTGACTTGAATGCAATCATCACAAAGAACTTTCTGAGAATGCTTCTGTCTAGATTTGATCTGAAGACAATCCCGTTTCCAACGAAATCCTCAAGGCTAGGCAAATATCCTCTTGCAGATTCCAGAAAAAGAGTGTTTCAAAACTGCTCCTTCAAAACGGTGGTTCAATTCTCTTAGTTGAGTACACACATCTCAAATAAGTTTCTGAGAATGCTTCTGCCTAGTTGTTACGGGAAGATATTTCCCTTTCCAACATAGGCCTGAAAGCGCTCCAAATGTCCACTTCCAGATACTACAAAAAGAGTGTTTCAAACCTGCTCTACCAAAGGGAATGTTCTACTCTGTGACTTGAATGCAAACATCCCAAAGAAGTTTCTGAGAATGCTTCTGTCTAGATTTTACCTGAAGACAATCCCGTTTCCCACGAAATCCTCAAAGCTATGCAAATATCCTCTTGCAGATTCTACAAAAAGAGTGTTTCAAAACTGCTCTATGAAAAGAAAGGTTCAACTCTGTCAGTAGAGGGCACACATCACAAACAAATTTCTGAGAATGCTTGTGTCTAGTTGTTATGGGAAGATATTTCCTTTTTCAACATAGGCCTGAAAGCGCTAAAATGTCCACTTCCAGATACTACAAAAGGAGTGATTCCAACCTGCTCTATGATAGGGAATGTTCAACTCTCTGTCCTGAATACAAACATCACAAAGATGTTTCTCAGAACGCTGCAGTCTGCAATTTGTATGAATTCCCGCTTCCAACGAAATCCTCAAAACTAGCCAAATATCCACTTGCAGATTCCACAAAAAGAGCATTTCAAAACTGCTCTATCAAAAGAAAGGTTCAACTTTGTTAGTTGAGTAGATACAGCATAAACAAGTTTCTGAGAATGCTTCTGTCCAGTTTTTATGGGAAGATATTTCCTTTTTCACCTTAGCCCTGAAAGCGCTCCAAAATTCCAGTTCCAGATACTACAAAAGGAGTGTTTCAGGACTGCTCTATGAAAGGGAGTGTTCAACTTTTGACTTGAATGCAAACATCAGAAAGCAGTTTCTCAGAACGCTGCTGTGTGCTTTTTATATGTATTCCCGCTTCCAGCGAAATCCCCAAAGCTAGCCAAATATCCACTTGCAGATTCCAGAAAAAGAGTGTTTCAAAACTGCTCCTTCAAAACGGTGGTTCAATTCTCTTAGTTGAGTACACACATCTCAAATAAGTTTCTGAGAATGCTTCTGTCTAGTTGTTATGGGAAGATATTTCCTTTTCCAACATAGGCCTGAAAGCGCTCCAAATGTCCACTTCCAGATACTACAAAAGGAGTGATTCAAACCTGCTCTATGATAGGGAATGTTCAACTCTGTGTCCTGAATACAAACATCACAAAGATGTTTCTCAGAACGCTGCAGTCTGCAATTTGTATGAATTCCCGCTTCCAACGAAATCCTCAAAACTAGCCAAATATCCACTTGCAGATTCCACAAAAAGAGCGTTTCAAAACTTCTCTATGAAAAAGAAAGGTTCTACTCCTTTAGTTGAGGACACACATCACGAGTAAGTTTCTGAGAATGCTTCTGTCTAGTTTTTATGGGAAGATATTTCCTTTTTCACCTTAGGCCGGAAAGTGCTCCAAATGTCCACTTACACACACTACAAAAAGAGTGTTTCAAACCTGCTCTGTGAAAGGGAATGTTCAATTCTGTGACTTGAATGCAATCATCACAAAGAACTTTCTGAGAATGCTGCTGTCTGCTTTTTATATGTAATCCCGTTTCCAACGAAATCCTCAAATCTAGCCAAATAGCCACTTGCAGATTCCACAAAAAGAGTGTTTCAAAACTGTTCTGTCTAAAGAAATGTTCAACTGTGTTAGTTGAGGACACACATCAGAAACTAGTTTCTGAGAATGCTTCTGTCTAGTTGTTATGGGAAGATATTTCCTTTTCCAACGTAGGCCTGAAAGCGCTCCAAATGTCCACTTCCATATACTAAAAAAAGAGTGTTTCAAACCTGCTCTACCAAAGGGAATGTTCTACTCTGTGACTTGAATGCAAACATCCCAAAGAAGTTTCTGAGAATGCTTCTGTCTAGATTTGATCTGAAGACAATCCCGTTTCCAACGAAATCCTCAAGGCTAGGCAAATATCCTCTTGCAGATTCCAGAAAAAGAGTGTTTCAAAACTGCTCCTTCAAAACGGTGGTTCAATTCTCTTAGTTGAGTACACACATCTCAAATAAGTTTCTGAGAATGCTTCTGCCTAGTTGTTACGGGAAGATATTTCCCTTTCCAACATAGGCCTGAAAGCGCTCCAAATGTCCACTTCCAGATACTACAAAAAGAGTGTTTCAAATCTGCTCTACCAAAGGGAATGTTCTGCTCTGTGACTTGAATGCAAACATCCCAAAGAAGTTTCTGAGAATGCTTCTGTCTAGATTTTACCTGAAGACAATCCCGTTTCCCACGAAATCCTCAAAGCTATGCAAATATCCTCTTGCAGATTCTACAAAAAGAGTGTTTCAAAACTGCTCTATGAAAAGAAAGGTTCAACTCTGTCAGTAGAGGGCACACATCACAAACAAGTTTCTGAGAATGCTTGTGTCTAGTTGTTATGGGAAGATATTTCCTTTTTCAACATAGGCCTGAAAGCGCTCCAAATGTCCACTTCCAGATACTACAAAAGGAGTGATTCCAACCTGCTCTATGATAGGGAATGTTCAACTCTCTGTCCTGAATACAAACATCACAAAGATGTTTCTCAGAACGCTGCAGTCTGCAATTTGTATGAATTCCCGCTTCCAACGAAATCCTCAAAACTAGCCAAATATCCACTTGCAGATTCCACAAAAAGACCATTTCAAAACTGCTCTATCAAAAGAAAGGTTCAACTTTGTTAGTTGAGTAGATACAGCATAAACAAGTTTCTGAGAATGCTTCTGTCCAGTTTTTATGGGAAGATATTTCCTTTTTCACCTTAGCCCTGAAATCGCTCCAAAAGTCCAGTTCCAGATACTACAAAAGGGGTGTTTCAAGACTGCTCTATGAAAGGGAGTGTTCAACTTTTGACTTGAATGCAAACATCAGAAAGCAGTTTCTCAGAACGCTGCTGTGTGCTTTTTATATGTATTCCCGCTTCCAGCGAAATCCCCAAAGCTAGCCAAATATCCACTTGCAGATTCCAGAAAAAGAGAGTTTCAAAACTGCTCCTTCAAAACGGTGGTTCAATTCTCTTAGTTGAGTACACACATCTCAAATAAGTTTCTGAGAATGCTTCTGTCTAGTTGTTATGGGAAGATATTTCCTTTTCCAACATAGGCCTGAAAGCGCTCCAAATGTCCACTTCCAGATACTACAAAAGGAGTGATTCAAACCTGCTCTATGATAGGGAATGTTCAACTCTGTGTCCTGAATACAAACATCACAAAGATGTTTCTCAGAACGCTGCAGTCTGCAATTTGTATGAATTCCCGCTTCCAACGAAATCCTCAAAACTAGCCAAATATCCACTTGCAGATTCCACAAAAAGAGCGTTTCAAAACTTCTCTATGAAAAGAAAGGTTCTACTCCTTTAGTTGAGGACACACATCACGAGTAAGTTTCTGAGAATGCTTCTGTCTAGTTTTTATGGGAAGATTATTTCCTTTTTCACCTTAGGCCGGTAAGTGCTCCAAATGTCCACTTACACACACTACAAAAAGAGTGTTTCAAACCTGCTCTGTGAAAGGGAATGTTCAATTCTGTGACTTGAATGCAATCATCTCAAAGAACTTTCTGAGAATGCCGCTGTCTGCTTTTTATATGTAATCCCGTTTCCAACGAAATCCTCAAATCTAGCCAAATAGTCACTTGCAGATTCCACAAAAAGAGAGTTTCAAAACTGTTCTGTCTAAAGAAATGTTCAACTGTGTTAGTTGAGGACACACATCAGAAACTAGTTTCTGAGAATGCTTCTGTCTAGTTGTTATGGGAAGATATTTCGTTTTCCAACGTAGGCCTGAAAGCGCTCCAAATGTCCACTTCCATATACTAAAAAAAGAGTGTTTCACACCTGCTCTACCAAAGGGAATGTTCTACTCTGTGACTTGAATGCAAACATCCCAAAGAAGTTTCTGAGAATGCTTCTGTCTAGATTTGATCTGAACACAATCCCGTTTCCAACGAAATCCTCAAAGCTAGGCAAATATCCTCTTGCAGATTCCAGAAAAAGAGTGTTTCAAAACTGCTCCTTCAAAACGGTGGTTCAATTCTCTTAGTTGAGTACACACATCTCAAATAAGTTTCTGAGAATGCTTCTGCCTAGTTGTTACGGGAAGATATTTCCCTTTCCAACATAGGCCTGAAAGCGCTCCAAATGTCCACTTCCAGATACTATAAAAAGAGTGTTTCAAACCTGCTCTACCAAAGGGAATGTTCTACTCTGTGACTTGAATGCAAACATCCCAAAGAAGTTTCTGAGAATGCTTCTGTCTAGATTTTACCTGAAGACAATCCCGTTTCCCACGAAATCCTCAAAGCTATGCAAATATCCTCTTGCAGATTCTACAAAAAGAGCGTTTCAAAACTTCTCTATGAAAAGAAAGGTTCTACTCATTTAGTGGAGGACACACATCACGAGTAAGTTTCTGAGAATGCTTCTGTCTAGTTTGTATGGGAAGATATTTCCTTTTTCACCTTAGGCCGGAAAGTGCTCCAAATGTCCACTTACACACACTACAAAAAGAGTGTTTCAAACCTGCTCTGTGAAAGGGAATGTTCAATTCTGTGACTTGAATGCAATCATCACAAAGAACTTTCTGAGAATGCTGCTGTCTGCTTTTCATATGTAATCCCGTTTCCAACGAAATCCTCAAATCTAGCCAAATAGCCACTTGCAGATTCCACAAAAAGAGTGTTTCAAAACTGTTCTGTCTAAAGAAATGTTCAACTGTGTTAGTTGAGGACACACATCAGAAACTAGTTTCTGAGAATGCTTCTGTCTAGTTGTTATGGGAAGATATTTCCTTTTCCAACGTAGGCCTGAAAGCGCTCCAAATGTCCACTTCCATATACTAAAAAAAGAGTGTTTCAAACCTGCTCTACCAAAGGGAATGTTCTACTCTGTGACTTGAATGCAAACATCCCAAAGAAGTTTCTGAGAATGCTTCTGTCTAGATTTGATCTGAAGACAATCCCGTTTCCAACGAAATCCTCAAGGCTAGGCAAATATCCTCTTGCAGATTCCAGAAAAAGAGTGTTTCAAAACTGCTCCTTCAAAACGGTGGTTCAATTCTCTTAGTTGGGTACACACATCTCAAATAAGTTTCTGAGAATGCTTCTGCCTAGTTGTTACGGGAAGATATTTCCCTTTCCAACATAGGCCTGAAAGCGCTCCAAATGTCCACTTCCAGATACTACAAAAAGAGTGTTTCAAACCTGCTCTACCAAAGGGAATGTTCTACTCTGTGACTTGAATGCAAACATCCCAAAGAAGTTTCTGAGAATGCTTCTGTCTAGATTTTACCTGAAGACAATCCCGTTTCCCACGAAATCCTCAAAGCTATGCAAATATCCTCTTGCAGATTCTACAAAAAGAGTGTTTCAAAACTGCTCTATGAAAAGAAAGGTTCAACTGTGTCAGTAGAGGGCACACATCACAAACAAGTTTCTGAGAATGCTTGTGTCTAGTTGTTATGGGAAGATATTTCCTTTTTCAACATAGGCCTGAAAGCGCTCCAAATGTCCACTTCCAGATACTACAAAAGGAGTGATTCCAACCTGCTCTATGATAGGGAATGTTCAACTCTCTGTCCTGAATACAAACATCACAAAGATGTTTCTCAGAACGCTGCAGTCTGCAATTTGTATGAATTCCCGCTTCCAACGAAATCCTCAAAACTAGCCAAATATCCACTTGCAGATTCCACAAAAAGAGCATTTCAAAACTGCTCTATCAAAAGAAAGGTTCAACATTGTTAGTTGAGTAGATACAGCATAAACAAGTTTCTGAGAATGCTTCTGTCCAGTTTTTATGGGAAGATATTTCCTTTTTCACCTTAGCCCTGAAAGCGCTCCAAATGTCCAGTTCCAGATACTACAAAAGGGGTGTTTCAAGACTGCTCTATGAAAGGGAGTGTTCAACTTTTGACTTGAATGCAAACATCAGAAAGCAGTTTCTCAGAACGCTGCTGTGTGCTTTTTATATGTATTCCCGCTTCCAGCGAAATCCCCAAAGCTAGCCAAATATCCACTTGCAGATTCCAGAAAAAGAGTGTTTCAAAACTGCTCCTTCAAAACGGTGGTTCAATTCTCTTAGTTGAGTACACACATCTCAAATAAGTTTCTGAGAATGCTTCTGTCTAGTTGTTTTGGGAAGATATTTCCTTTTCCAACATAGGCCTGAAAGCGCTCCAAATGTCCACTTCCAGATACTACAAAAGGAGTGATTCAAACCTGCTCTATGATAGGGAATGTTCAACTCTGTGTCCTGAATACAAACATCACAAAGATGTTTCTCAGAACGCTGCAGTCTGCAATTTGTATGAATTCCCGCTTCCAACGAAATCCTCAAAACTAGCCAAATATCCACTTGCAGATTCCACAAAAAGAGCGTTTCAAAACTTCTCTATGAAAAGAAAGGTTCTACTCCTTTAGTTGAGGACACACATCACGAGTAAGTTTCTGAGAATGCTTCTGTCTAGTTTTTATGGGAAGATATTTCCTTTTTCACCTTAGGCCGGAAAGTGCTCCAAATGTCCACTTACACACACTATAAAAAGAGTGTTTCAAACCTGCTCTGTGAAAGGAAATGTTCAATTCTGTGACTTGAATGCAATCATCACAAAGAACTTTCTGAGAATGCTGCTGTCTGCTTTTTATATGTAATCCCGTTTCCAATGAAATCCTCAAATCTAGCCAAATAGCCACTTGCAGATTCCACAAAAAGAGAGTTTCAAAACTGTTCTGTCTAAAGAAATGTTCAACTGTGTTAGTTGAGGACACACATCAGAAACTAGTTTCTGAGAATGCTTCTGTCTAGTTGTTATGGGAAGATATTTCCTTTTCCAACGTAGGCCTGAAAGCGCTCCAAATGTCCACTTCCATATACTAAAAAAAGAGTGTTTCAAACCTGCTCTACCAAAGGGAATGTTCTACTCTGTGACTTGAATGCAAACATCCCAAAGAAGTTTCTGAGAATGCTTCTGTCTAGATTTTATCTGAAGACAATCCCGTTTCCAACGAAATCCTCAAGGCTAGGCAAATATACTCTTGCAGATTCCAGAAAAAGAGTGTTTCAAAACTGCTCCTTCAAAACCGTGGTTCAATTCTCTTAGTTGAGTACACACATCTCAAATAAGTTTCTGAGAATGCTTCTGCCTAGTTGTTACGGGAAGATATTTCCCTTTCCAACATGGGCCTGAAAGCGCTCCAAATGTCCACTTCCAGATACTACAAAAAGAGTGTTTCAAACCTGCTCTACCAAAGGGAATGTTCTACTCTGTGACTTGAATGCAAACATCCCAAAGAAGTTTCTGAGAATGCTTCTGTCTAGATTTTACCTGAAGACAATCCCGTTTCCCACGAAATCCTCAAAGCTATGCAAATATCCTCTTGCGGATTCTACAAAAAGAGTGTTTCAAAACTGCTCTATGAAAAGAAAGGTTCAACTCTGTCAGTAGAGGGCACACATCACAAACAAGTTTCTGAGAATGCTTGTGTCTAGTTGTTATGGGAAGATATTTCCTTTTTCAACATAGGCCTGAAAGCGCTCCAAATGTCCACTTCCAGATACTACAAAAGGAGTGATTCCAACATGCTCTATGATAGGGAATGTTCATCTCTGTGTCTTGAATACAAACATCACAAAGATGTTTCTCAGAACGCTGCAGTCTGCAATTTGTATGAATTCCCGCTTCCAACGAAATCCTCAAAACTAGCCAAATATCCACTTGGAGATTCCACAAAAAGAGCGTTTCAAAACTTCTCTATCAATAGAAAGGTTCTACTCCTTTAGTTGAGGACACACATCACGAGTAAGTTTCTGAGAATGCTTCTGTCTAGTTTTTATGGGAAGATATGTCCTTTTTCACCTTAGGCCGGAAAGCGCTCCAAATGTCCACTTACACACACTACAAAAAGAGTGTTTCAAACCTGCTCTGTGAAAGGGAATGTTCAATTCTGTGACTTGAATGCAATCATCACAAAGAACTTTCTGAGAATGCTGCTGACTGCTATTTATATGTAATCCCGTTTCCAACGAAATCCTCAAATCTAGCCCAATATCCACTTGCAGATTCCACAAAAAGAGTGTTTCAAAACTGTTCTGTCTAAAGAAATGTACAACTGTGTTAGTTGAGGACACACATCAGAAACTAGTTTCTGAGAATGCTTCTGTCTAGTTGTTATGGGAAGATATTTCCTTTTCCAACGTAGGCCTGAAAGCGCTCCAAATGTCCACTTCCATATACTAAAAAAAGACTGTTTCAAACCTGCTCTACCAAAGGGAATGTTCTACTCTGTGACTTGAATGCAAACATCCCAAAGAAGTTTCTGAGAATGCTTCTGTCTAGATTTTATCTGAAGACAATCCCGTTTCCAACGAAATCCTCAAGGTTAGGCAAATATACTCTTGCAGATTCCAGAAAAAGAGGGTTTCAAAACTGCTCCTTCAAAACGGTGGTTCAATTCTCTTAGTTGAGTACACACATCTCAAATAAGTTTCTGAGAATGCTTCTGCCTAGTTGTTACGGGAAGATATTTCCCTTTCCAACATGGTCCTGAAAGCGCTCCAAATGTCCACTTCCAGATACTACAAAAAGAGTGTTTCAAACCTGCTCTACCAAAGGGAATGTTCTACTCTGTGACTTGAATGCAAACATCCCAAAGAAGTTTCTGAGAATGCTTCTGTCTAGATTTTACCTGAAGACAATCCCGTTTCCCACGAAATCCTCAAAGCTATGCAAATATCCTCTTGCGGATTCTACAAAAAGAGTGTTTCAAAACTGCTCTATGAAAAGAAAGGTTCAACTCTGTCAGTAGAGGGCACACATCACAAACAAGTTTCTGAGAATGCTTGTGTCTAGTTTTTATGGGAAGATATTTCCTTTTTCAACATAGGCCTGAAAGCGCTCCAAATGTCCACTTCCAGATACTACAAAAGGAGTGATTCCAACATGCTCTATGATAGGGAATGTTCATCTCTGTGTCTTGAATACAAACATCACAAAGATGTTTCTCAGAACGCTGCAGTCTGCAATTTGTATGAATTCCCGCTTCCAACGAAATCCTCAAAACTAGGCAAATATCCACTTGGAGATTCCACAAAAAGAGCGTTTCAAAACTTCTCTATGAATAGAAAGGTTCTACTCCTTTAGTTGAGGACACACATCACGAGTAAGTTTCTGAGAATGCTTCTGTCTAGTTTTTATGGGAAGATATGTCCTTTTTCACCTTAGGCCGGAAAGCGCTCCAAATGTCCACTTACACACACTACAAAAAGAGTGTTTCAAACCTGCTCTGTGAAAGGGAATGTTCAATTCTGTGACTTGAATGCAATCATCACAAACAACTTTCTGAGAATGCTGCTGTCTGCTTTTTATATGTAATCCCCTTTCCAACGAAATCCTCAAATCTAACCCAATATCCACTTGCAGATTCCACAAAAAGAGTGTTTCAAAACTGTTCTGTCTAAAGAAAAGTTCAACTGTGTTAGTTGAGGACACACATCAGAAACTAGTTTCTGAGAATGCTTCTGTCTAGTTGTTATGGGAAGATATTTCCTTTTCCAACGTAGGCCTGAAAGCGCTCCAAATGTCCACTTCCATATACTAAAAAAAGAGTGTTTCAAACCTGCTCTACCAAAGGGAATGTTCTACTCTGTGACTTGAATGCAAACATCCCAAAGAAGTTTCTGAGAATGCTTCTGTCTAGATTTTATCTGAAGACAATCCCGTTTCCAACGAAATCCTCAAGGCTAGGCAAATATACTCTTGCAGATTCCAGAAAAAGAGGGTTTCAAAACTGCTCCTTCAAAACGGTGGTTCAATTCTCTTCGTTGAGTACACACATCTCAAATAAGTTTCTGAGAATGCTTCTGCCTAGTTGTTACGGGAAGATATTTCCCTTTCCAACATGGGCCTGAAAGCGCTCCAAATGTCCACTTCCAGATACTACAAAAAGAGTGTTTCAAACCTGCTCTACCAAAGGGAATGTTCTACTCTGTGACTTGAATGCAAACATCCCAAAGAAGTTTCTGAGAATGCTTCTGTCTAGATTTTACCTGAAGACAATCCCGTTTCCCACGAAATCCTCAAAGCTATGCAAATATCCTCTTGCAGATTCTACAAAAAGAGTGTTTCAAAACTGCTCTATGAAAAGAAAGGTTCAACTCTGTCAGTAGAGGGCACACATCACAAACAAGTTTCTGAGAATGCTTCTGCATAGTTGTTACGGGAAGATATTTCCCTTTCCAAAATAGGCCTGAAAGCGCTCCAAATGTCCACTTCCAGATACTACAAAAGGAGTGATTCCAACCTGCTCTATGATAGGGAATGTTCAACTCTGTGTCCTGAATACAAACATCACAAAGATGTTTCTCAGAACGCTGCAGTCTGCAATTTGTATGAATTCCCGCTTCCAACGAAATCCTCAAAACTAGCCAAATATCCACTTGCAGATTCCACAAAAAGACCATTTCAAAACTGCTCTATCAAAAGAAAGGTTCAACTTTGTTAGTTGAGTAGATACAGCATAACCAAGTTTCTGAGAATGCTTCTGTCCAGTTTTTATGGGAAGATATTTCCTTTTTCACCTTAGCCCTGAAATCGCTCCAAAAGTCCAGTTCCAGATACTACAAAAGGGGTGTTTCAAGACTGCTCTATGAAAGGGAGTGTTCAACTTTTGACTTGAATGCAAACATCAGAAAGCAGTTTCTCAGAACGCTGCTGTGTGCTTTTTATATGTATTCCCGCTTCCAGCGAAATCCCCAAAGCTAGCCAAATATCCACTTGCAGATTCCAGAAAAAGAGAGTTTCAAAACTGCTCCTTCAAAACGGTGGTTCAATTCTCTTAGTTGAGTACACACATCTCAAATAAGTTTCTGAGAATGCTTCTGTCTAGTTGTTATGGGAAGATATTTCCTTTTCCAACATAGGCCTGAAAGCGCTCCAAATGTCCACTTCCAGATACTACAAAAGGAGTGATTCAAACCTGCTCTATGATAGGGAATGTTCAACTCTGTGTCCTGAATACAAACATCACAAAGATGTTTCTCAGAACGCTGCAGTCGGCAATTTGTATGAATTCCCGCTTCCAACGAAATCCTCAAAACTAGCCAAATATCCACTTGCAGATTCCACAAAAAGAGCGTTTCAAAACTTCTCTATGAAAAGAAAGGTTCTACTCCTTTAGTTGAGGACACACATCACGAGTAAGTTTCTGAGAATGCTTCTGTCTAGTTTTTATGGGAAGATATTTCCTTTTTCACCTTAGGCCGGAAAGTGCTCCAAATGTCCACTTACACACACTACAAAAAGAGTGTTTCAAACCTGCTCTGTGAAAGGGAATGTTCAATTCTGTGACTTGAATGCAATCATCACAAAGAACTTTCTGAGAATGCTGCTGTCTGCTTTTTATATGTAATCCCGTTTCCAACGAAATCCTCAAATCTAGCCAAATATCCACTTGCAGATTCCACAAAAAGAGAGTTTCAAAACTGTTCTGTCTAAAGAAATGTTCAACTGTGTTAGTTGAGGACACACATCAGAAACTAGTTTCTGAGAATGCTTCTGTCTAGTTGTTATGGGAAGATATTTCCTTTTCCAACGTAGGCCTGAAAGCGCTCCAAATGTCCACTTCCATATACTAAAAAAAGAGTGTTTCAAACCTGCTCTACCAAAGGGAATGTTCTACTCTGTGACTTGAATGCAAACATCCCAAAGAAGTTTCTGAGAATGCTTCTGTCTAGATTTGATCTGAAGACAATCCCGTTTCCAACGAAATCCTCAAGGCTAGGCAAATATACTCTTGCAGATTCCAGAAAAAGAGTGTTTCAAAACTGCTCCTTCAAAACGGTGGTTCAATTCTCTTAGTTGAGTACACACATCTCAAATAAGTTTCTGAGAATGCTTCTGCCTAGTTGTTACCGGAAGATATTTCCCTTTCCAACATAGGCCTGAAAGCGCTCCAAATGTCCACTTCCAGATACTACAAAAAGAGTGTTTCAAACCTGCTCTACCAAAGGGAATGTTCTACTCTGTGACTTGAATGCAAACATCCCAAAGAAGTTTCTGAGAATGCTTCTGTCTAGATTTTACCTGAAGACAATCCCGTTTCCCACGAAATCCTCAAAGCTATGCAAATATCCTCTTGCAGATTCTACAAAAAGAGTGTTTCAAAACTGCTCTATGAAAAGAAAGGTTCAACTCTGTCAGTAGAGGGCACACATCACAAACAAGTTTCTGAGAATGCTTCTGCATAGTTGTTACGGGAAGATATTTCCCTTTCCAAAATAGACCTGAAAGCGCTCCAAATGTCCACTTCCAGATACTACAAAAGGAGTGATTCCAACCTGCTCTATGATAGGGAATGTTCAACTCTGTGTCCTGAATACAAACATCACAAAGATGTTTCTCAGAACGCTGCAGTCTGCAATTTGTATGAATTCCCGCTTCCAACGAAATCCTCAAAACTAGCCAAATATCCACTTGCAGATTCCACAAAAAGACCATTTCAAAACTGCTCTATCAAAAGAAAGGTTCAACTTTGTTAGTTGAGTAGATACAGCATAAACAAGTTTCTGAGAATGCTTCTGTCCAGTTTTTATGGGAAGATATTTCCTTTTTCACCTTAGCCCTGAAATCGCTCCAAAAGTCCAGTTCCAGATACTACAAAAGGGGTGTTTCAGGACTGCCCTATGAAAGGGAGTGTTCAACTTTTGACTTGAATGCAAACATCAGAAAGCAGTTTCTCAGAACGCTGCTGTGTGCTTTTTATATGTATTCCCGCTTCCAGCGAAATCCCCAAAGCTAGCCAAATATCCACTTGCAGATTCCAGAAAAAGAGAGTTTCAAAACTGCTCCTTCAAAACGGTGGTTCAATTCTCTTAGTTGAGTACACACATCTCAAATAAGTTTCTGAGAATGCTTCTGTCTAGTTGTTATGGGAAGATATTTCCTTTTCCAACATAGGCCTGAAAGCGCTCCAAATGTCCACTTCCAGATACTACAAAAGGAGTGATTCAAACCTGCTCTATGATAGGGAATGTTCAACTCTGTGTCCTGAATACAAACATCACAAAGATGTTTCTCAGAACGCTGCAGTCTGCAATTTGTATGAATTCCCGCTTCCAACGAAATCCTCAAAACTAGCCAAATATCCACTTGCAGATTCCACAAAAAGAGCGTTTCAAAACTTCTCTATGAAAAGAAAGGTTCTACTCCTTTAGTTGAGGACACACATCACGAGTAAGTTTCTGAGAATGCTTCTGTCTAGTTTTTATGGGAAGATATTTCCTTTTTCACCTTAGGCCGGAAAGTGCTCCAAATGTCCACTTACACACACTACAAAAAGAGTGTTTCAAACCTGCTGCTGTGAAAGGGAATGTTCAATTCTGTGACTTGAATGCAATCATCACAAAGAACTTTCTGAGAATGCTGCTGTCTGCTTTTTATATGTAATCCCGTTTCCAACGAAATCCTCAAATCTAGCCCAATATCCACTTGCAGATTCCACAAAAAGAGTGTTTCAAAACTGTTCTGTCTAAAGAAATGTACAACTGTGTCAGTTGAGGACACACATCAGAAACTAGTTTCTGAGAATGCTTCTGTCTAGTTGTTATGGGAAGATATTTCCTTTTCCAACGTAGGCCTGAAAGCGCTCCAAATGTCCACTTCCATATACTAAAAAAAGAGTGTTTCAAACCTGCTCTACCAAAGGGAATGTTCTACTCTGTGACTTGAATGCAAACATCCCAAAGAAGTTTCTGAGAATGCTTCTGTCTAGATTTTCTCTGAAGACAATCCCGTTTCCAACGAAATCCTCAAGGCTAGGCAAATATACTCTTGCAGATTCCAGAAAAAGAGTGTTTCAAAACTGCGCCTTCAAAACGGTGGTTCAATTCTCTTAGTTGAGTACACACATCTCAAATAAGTTTCTGAGAATGCTTCTGCCTAGTTGTTACGGGAAGATATTTCCCTTTCCAACATGGGCCTGAAAGCGCTCCAAATGTCCACTTCCAGATACTACAAAAAGAGTGTTTCAAACCTGCTCTACCAAAGGGAATGTTCTACTCTGTGACTTGAATGCAAACATCCCAAAGAAGTTTCTGAGAACGCTTCTGTCTAGATTTTACCTGAAGACAATCCCGTTTCCCACGAAATCCTCAAAGCTATGCAAATATCCTCTTGCAGATTCTACAAAAAGAGTGTTTCAAAACTGCTCTATGAAAAGAAAGGTTCAACTCTGTCAGTAGAGGGCACACATCACAAACAAGTTTCTGAGAATGCTTCTGCATAGTTGTTACGGGAAGATATTTCCCTTTCCAAAATAGGCCTGAAAGCGCTCCAAATGTCCACTTCCAGATACTACAAAAGGAGTGATTCCAACCTGCTCTATGATAGGGAATGTTCAACTCTGTGTCCTGAATACAAACATCACAAAGATGTTTCTCAGAACGCTGCAGTCTGCAATTTGTATGAATTCCCGCTTCCAACGAAATCCTCAAAACTAGCCAAATATCCACTTGCAGATTCCACAAAAAGACCATTTCAAAACTGCTCTATCAAAAGAAAGGTTCAACTTTGTTAGTTGAGTAGATACAGCATAAACAAGTTTCTGAGAATGCTTCTGTCCAGTTTTTATGGGAAGATATTTCCTTTTTCACCTTAGCCCTGAAATCGCTCCAAAAGTCCAGTTCCAGATACTACAAAAGGGGTGTTTCAAGACTGCTCTATGAAAGGGAGTGTTCAACTTTTGACTTGAATGCAAACATCAGAAAGCAGTTTCTCAGAACGCTGCTGTGTGCTTTTTATATGTATTCCCGCTTCCAGCGAAATCCCCAAAGCTAGCCAAATATCCACTTGCAGATTCCAGAAAAAGAGAGTTTCAAAACTGCTCCTTCAAAACGGTGGTTCAATTCTCTTAGTTGAGTACACACATCTCAAATAAGTTTCTGAGAATGCTTCTGTCTAGTTGTTATGGGAAGATATTTCCTTTTCCAACATAGGCCTGAAAGCGCTCCAAAATGTCCACTTCCAGATACTACAAAAGGAGTGATTCAAACCTGCTCTATGATAGGGAATGTTCAACTCTGTGTCCTGAATACAAACATCACAAAGATGTTTCTCAGAACGCTGCAGTCTGCAATTTGTATGAATTCCCGCTTCCAACGAAATCCTCCAAACTAGCCAAATATCCACTTGCAGATTCCACAAAAAGAGCGTTTCAAAACTTCTCTATGAAAAGAAAGGTTCTACTCCTTTAGTTGAGGACACACATCACGAGTAAGTTTCTGAGAATGCTTCTGTCTAGTTTTTATGGGAAGATTATTTCCTTTTTCACCTTAGGCCGGTAAGTGCTCCAAATGTCCACTTACACACACTACAAAAAGAGTGTTTCAAACCTGCTCTGTGAAAGGGAATGTTCAATTCTGTGACTTGAATGCAATCATCACAAAGAACTTTCTGAGAATGCCGCTGACTGCTTTTTATATGTAATCCCGTTTCCAACGAAATCCTCAAATCTAGCCAAATAGCCACTTGCAGATTCCACAAAAAGAGTGTTTCAAAACTGTTCTGTCTAAAGAAATGTTCAACTGTGTTAGTTGAGGACACACATCAGAAACTAGTTTCTGAGAATGCTTCTGTCTAGTTGTTATGGGAAGATATTTCCTTTTCCAACGTAGGCCTGAAAGCGCTCCAAATGTCCACTTCCAGATACTACAAAAAGAGTGTTTCAAACCTGCTCTACCAAAGGGAATGTTCTACTCTGTGACTTGAATGCAAGCATCCCAAAGAAGTTTCTGAGAATGCTTCTGTCTAGATTTTATCTGAAGACAACCACGTTTCCAACGAAATCGTCAAGGCTAGGCAAATATACTCTTGCAGATTCCAGAAAAAGAGTGTTTCCAAACTGCTCCTTCAAAACGGTGGTTCAATTCTCTTAGTTGAGTACACACATCTCAAATAAGTTTCTGAGAATGCTTCTGCCTAGTTGTTACGGGAAGATATTTCCCTTTCCAACATGGGCCTGAAAGCGCTCCAAATGTCCACTTCCAGATACTACAAAAAGAGTGTTTCAAACCTGCTCTACCAAAGGGAATGTTCTACTCTGTGACTTGAATGCAAACATCCCAAAGAAGTTTCTGAGAATGCTTCTGTCTAGATTTTACCTGAAGACAATCCCGTTTCCCACGAAATCCTCAAAGCTATGCAAATATCCTCTTGCAGATTCTACAAAAAGAGTGTTTCAAAACTGCTCTATGAAAAGAAAGGTTCAACTCTGTCAGTTGAGGGCACACATCACAAACAAGTTTCTGAGAATGCTTGTGTCTAGTTGTTATGGGAAGATATTTCCTTTTTCAACATAGGCCTGAAAGCGCTCCAAATGTCCACTTCCAGATACTACAAAAGGAGTGATTCCAACCTGCTCTATGATAGGGAATATTCAACTCTCTGTCCTGAATACAAACATCACAAAGATGTTTCTCAGAACGCTGCAGTCTGCAATTTGTATGAATTCCCGCTTCCAACGAAATCCTCAAAACTAGCCAAATATCCACTTGCAGATTCCACAAAAAGACCATTTCAAAACTGCTCTATCAAAAGAAAGGTTCAACTTTGTTAGTTGAGTAGATACAGCATAAACAAGTTTCTGAGAATGCTTCTGTCCAGTTTTTATGGGAAGATATTTCCTTTTTCACCTTAGCCCTGAAATCGCTCCAAAAGTCCAGTTCCAGATACTACAAAACGGGTATTTCAAGACTGCTCTATGAAAGGGAGTGTTCAACTTTTGACTTGAATGCAAACATCAGAAAGCAGTTTCTCAGAACGCTGCTGTGTGCTTTTTATATGTATTCCCGCTTCCAGCGAAATCCCCAAAGCTAGCCAAATATCCACTTGCAGATTCCAGAAAAAGAGAGTTTCAAAACTGCTCCTTCAAAACGGTGGTTCAATTCTCTTAGTTGAGTACACACATCTCAAATAAGTTTCTGAGAATGCTTCTGTCTAGTTGTTATGGGAAGATATTTCCTTTTCCAACATAGGCCTGAAAGCGCTCCAAATGTCCACTTCCAGATACTACAAAAGGAGTGATTCCAACCTGCTCTATGATAGGGAATGTTCAACTCTGTGTCCTGAATACAAACATCACAAAGATGTTTCTCAGAACGCTGCAGTCTGCAATTTGTATGAATTCCCGCTTCCAACGAAATCCTCAAAACTAGCCAAATATCCACTTGCAGATTCCACAAAAAGAGCGTTTCAAAACTTCTCTATGAAAAGAAAGGTTCTACTCCTTTAGTTGAGGACACACATCACGAGTAAGTTTCTGAGAATGCTTCTGTCTAGTTTTTATGGGAAGATATTTCCTTTTTCACCTTAGGCCGGTAAGTGCTCCAAATGTCCACTTACACACACTACAAAAAGAGTGTTTCAAACCTGCTCTGTGAAAGGGAATGTTCAATTCTGTGACTTGAATGCAATCATCACAAAGAACTTTCTGAGAATGCTGCTGACTGCTTTTTATATGTAATCCCGTTTCCAACGAAATCCTCAAATCTAGCCAAATAGCCACTTGCAGATTCCACAAAAAGAGTGTTTCAAAACTGTTCTGTCTAAAGAAATGTTCAACTGTGTTAGTTGAGGACACACATCAGAAACTAGTTTCTGAGAATGCTTCTGTCTAGTTGTTATGGGAAGATATTTCCTTTTCCAACGTAGGCCTGAAAGCGCTCCAAATGTCCACTTCCATATACTAAAAAAAGAGTGTTTCAAACCTGCTCTACCAAAGGGAATGTTCTACTCTGTGACTTGAATGCAAACATCCCAAAGAAGTTTCTGAGAATGCTTCTGTCTAGATTTTCTCTGAAGACAATCCCGTTTCCAACGAAATCCTCATGGCTAGGCAAATATACTCTTGCAGATTCCAGAAAAAGAGTGTTTCAAAACTGCTCCTTCAAAACGGTGGTTCAATTCTCTTAGTTGAGTACACACATCTCAAATAAGTTTCTGAGAATGCTTCTGCCTAGTTGTTACGGGAAGATATTTCCCTTTCCAACATGGGCCTGAAAGCGCTCCAAATGTCCACTTCCAGATACTACAAAAAGAGTGTTTCAAACCTGCTCTACCAAAGGGAATGTTCTACTCTGTGACTTGAATGCAAACATCCCAAAGAAGTTTCTGAGAATGCTTCTGTCTAGATTTTACCTGAAGACAATCCCGTTTCCCACGAAATCCTCAAAGCTATGCTAATATCCTCTTGCAGATTCTACAAAAAGAGTGTTTCAAAACTGCTCTATGAAAAGAAAGGTTCAACTCTGTCAGTAGAGGGCACACATCACAAACAAGTTTCTGAGAATGCTTGTGTCTAGTTGTTATGGGAAGATATTTCCTTTTTCAACATAGGCCTGAAAGCGCTCCAAATGTCCACTTCCAGATACTACAAAAGGAGTGATTCCAACCTGCTCTATGATAGGGAATGTTCAACTCTCTGTCCTGAATACAAACATCACAAAGATGTTTCTCAGAACGCTGCAGTCTGCAATTTGTATGAATTCCCGCTTCCAACGAAATCCTCAAAACTAGCCAAATATCCACTTGCAGATTCCACAAAAAGAGCATTTCAAAATTGCTCTATCAAAAGAAAGGTTCAACTTTGTTAGTTGAGTAGATACAGCATAAACAAGTTTCTGAGAATGCTTCTGTCCAGTTTTTATGGGAAGATATTTCCTTTTTCACCTTAGCCCTGAAATCGCTCCAAAAGTCCAGTTCCAGATACTACAAAAGGGGTGTTTCAGGACTGCTCTATGAAAGGGAGTGTTCAACTTTTGACTTGAATGCAAACATCAGAAAGCAGTTTCTCAGAACGCTGCTGTGTGCTTTTTATATGTATTCCCGCTTCCAGCGAAATCCCCAAAGCTAGCCAAATATCCACTTGCAGATTCCAGAAAAAGAGAGTTTCAAAACTGCTCCTTCAAAACGGTGGTTCAATTCTCTTAGTTGAGTACACACATCTCAAATAAGTTTCTGAGAATGCTGTAGTCTGCAATTTGTATGAATTCCCGCTTCCAACGAAATCCTCAAAACTAGCCAAATATCCACTTGCAGATTCCACAAAAAGAGCGTTTCAAAACTTCTCTATGAAAAGAAAGGTTCTACTCCTTTAGTTGAGTACACACATCACGAGTAAGTTTCTGAGAATGCTTATCTGTCTAGTTTTTATGGGAAGATATTTCCTTTTTCACCTTAGGCCGGAAATTGCTCCAAATGTCCACTTACACACACTACAAAAAGAGTGTTTCAAACCTGCTCTGTGAAAGGGAAAGTTCAATTCTGTGACTTGAATGCAATCATCACAAAGAACTTTCTGAGAATGCTGCTGTCTGCTTTTTATATGTAATCCCGTTTCCAACGAAATCCTCAAATCTAGCCAAATAGCCACTTGCAGATTCCACAAAAAGAGTGTTTCAAAACTGTTCTGTCTAAAGAAATGTTCAACTGTGTTAGTTGAGGACACACATCAGAAACTAGTTTCTGAGAATGCTTCTGTCTAGTTGTTATGGGAAGATATTTCCTTTTCCAACGTAGGCCTGAAAGCGCTCCAAATGTCCACTTCCATATACTAAAAAAAGAGTGTTTCAAACCTGCTCTACCAAAGGGAATGTTCTACTCTGTGACTTGAATGCAAACATCCCAAAGAAGTTTCTGAGAATGCTTCTGTCTAGATTTGATCTGAAGACAATCCCGTTTCCAACGAAATCCTCAAGGCTAGGCAAATATCCTCTTGCAGATTCCAGAAAAAGAGTGTTTCAAAACTGCTCCTTCAAAACGGTGGTTCAATTCTCTTAGTTGAGTACACACATCTCAAATAAGTTTCTGAGAATGCTTCTGCCTAGTTGTTACGGGAAGATATTTCCCTTTCCAACATAGGCCTGAAAGCGCTCCAAATGTCCACTTCCAGATACTACAAAAAGAGTGTTTCAAACCTGCTCTACCAAAGGGAATGTTCTACTCTGTGACTTGAATGCAAACATCCCAAAGAAGTTTCTGACAATGCTTCTGTCTAGATTTTACCTGAAGACAATCCGGTTTCCCACGAAATCCTCAAAGCTATGCAAATATCCTCTTGCAGATTCTACAAAAAGAGTGTTACAAAACTGCTCTATGAAAAGAAAGGTTCAACTCTGTCAGTAGAGGGCACACATCACAAACAAGTTTCTGAGAATGCTTGTGTCTAGTTGTTATGGGAAGATATTTCCTTTTTCAACATAGGCCTGAAAGCGCTCCAAATGTCCACTTCCAGATACTACAAAAGGAGTGATTCCAACCTGCTCTATGATAGGGAATGTTCAACTCTGTGTCCTGAATACAAACATCACAAAGATGTTTCTCAGAACGCTGCAGTCTGCAATTTGTATGAATTCCCGCTTCCAACGAAATCCTCAAAACTAGCCAAATATCCACTTGCAGATTCCACAAAAAGAGCGTTTCAAAACTTCTCTATGAAAAGGAAGGTTCTACTCCTTTAGTTGAGGACACACATCACGAGTAAGTTTCTGAGAATGCTTCTGTCTAGTTTTTATGGGAAGAATATGTCCTTTTTCACCTTAGGCCGGAAAGCGCTCCAAATGTCCACTTACACACACTATAAAAAGAGTGTTTCAAACCTGCTCTGTGAAAGGGAATGTTCAATTCTGTGACTTGAATGCAATCATCACAAAGAACTTTCTGAGAATGCTGCTGTCTGCTTTTTATATGTAATCCCGTTTCCAACGAAATCCTCAAATCTACCCCAATATCCACTTGCAGATTCCACAAAAAGAGTGTTTCAAAACTGTTCTGTGTAAAGAAATGTACAACTGTTTTAGTTGAGGACACACATCAGAAACTAGTTTCTGAGAATGCTTCTGTCTAGTTGTTATGGGAAGATATTTCCTTTTCCAACGTAGGCCTGAAAGCGCTCCAAATGTCCACTTCCATATACTAAAAAAAGAGTGTTTCAAACCTGCTCTACCAAAGGGAATGTTCTACTCTGTGACTTGAATGCAAACATCCCAAAGAAGTTTCTGAGAATGCTTCTGTCTAGATTTTCTCTGAAGACAATCCCGTTTCCAACGAAATCCTCAAGGCTAGGCAAATATACTCTTGCAGATTCCAGAAAAAGAGTGTTTCAAAACTGCTCCTTCAAAACGGTGGTTCAATTCTCTTAGTTGAGTACACACATCTCAAATAAGTTTCTGAGAATGCTTCTGCCTAGTTGTTACGGGAAGATATTTCCCTTTCCAACATAGGCCTGAAAGCGCTCCAAATGTCCACTTCCAGATACTACAAAAAGAGTGTTTCAAACCTGCTCTACCAAAGGGAATGTTCTACTCTGTGACTTGAATGCAAACATCCCAAAGAAGTTTCTGAGAATGCTTCTGTCTAGATTTTATCTGAAGACAATCCAGTTTCCAACGAAATCCTCAAAGCTAGGCAAATATCCTCTAGCAGATTCCAGAAAAAGAGTGTTTCAAAACTGGTCCTTCAAAACGGTGGTTCAATTTTCTTAGTTCAGTACACACATCTCAAATAAGTTTCTGAGAATGCTTCTGCCTAGTTGTTAAGGGAAGATATTTCCCTTTCCAACAAAGGCCTGAAAGCGTTCCAAATGTCCACTTCCAGATACTACAAAAAGAGTGTTTCAAACCTGCTCTACCAAAGGGAATGTTCTACTCTGTGACTTGAATGCAAACATCCCAAAGAAGTTTCTGAGAATGCTTCTGTCTAGATTTTACCTGAAGACAATCCCGTTTCCCACGAAACCCTCAAAGCTATGCAAATATCCTCTTGCAGATTCTACAAAAAGAGTGTTTCAAAACTGCTCTATGAAAAGAAAGGTTCAACTCTGTCAGTAGAGAGCACACATCACAAACAAGTTTCTGAGAATGCTTCTGCATAGTTGTTACGGGAAGATATTTCCCTTTCCAAAATAGGCCTGAAAGCGCTCCAAATGTCCACTTCCAGATACTACAAAAGGAGTGATTCCAACCTGCTCTATGATAGGGAATGTTCAACTCTGTGTCCTGAATACAAACATCACAAAGATGTTTCTCAGAACGCTGCAGTCTGCAATTTGTATGAATTCCCGCTTCCAACGAAATCCTCAAAACTAGCCAAATATCCACTTGCAGATTCCACAAAAAGACCATTTCAAAACTGCTCTATCAAAAGAAAGGTTCAACTTTGTTAGTTGAGTAGATACAGCATAAACAAGTTTCTGAGAATGCTTCTGTCCAGTTTTTATGGGAAGATATTTCCTTTTTCACCTTAGCCCTGAAATCGCTCCAAAAGTCCAGTTCCAGATACTACAAAAGGGGTGTTTCAAGACTGCTCTATGAAAGGGAGTGTTCAACTTTTGACTTGAATGCAAACATCAGAAAGCAGTTTCTCAGAACGCTGCTGTGTGCTTTTTATATGTATTCCCGCTTCCAGCGAAATCCCCAAAGCTAGCCAAATATCCACTTGCAGATTCCAGAAAAAGAGTGTTTCAAAACTGCTCCTTCAAAACGGTGGTTCAATTCTCTTAGTTGAGTACACACATCTCAAATAAGTTTCTGAGAATGCTTCTGTCTAGTTGTTATGGGAAGATATTTCCTTTTCCAACATAGGCCTGAAAGCGCTCCAAATGTCCACTTCCAGATACTACAAAAGGAGTGATTCAAACCTGCTCTATGATAGGGAATGTTCAACTCTGTGTCCTGAATACAAACATCACAAAGATGTTTCTCAGAACGCTGCAGTCTGCAATTTGTATGAATTCCCGCTTCCAACGAAATCCTCAAAACTAGCCAAATATCCACTTGCAGATTCCACAAAAAGAGCGTTTCAAAACTTCTCTATGAAAAGAAAGGTTCTACTCCTTTAGTTGAGGACACACATCACGAGTAAGTTTCTGAGAATGCTTCTGTCTAGTTTTTATGGGAAGATATTTCCTTTTTCACCTTAGGCCGGTAAGTGCTCCAAATGTCCACTTACACACACTACAAAAAGAGTGTTTCAAACCTGCTCTGTGAAAGGGAATGTTCAATTCTGTGACTTGAATGCAATCATCACAAAGAACTTTCTGAGAATGCTGCTGACTGCTTTTTATATGTAATCCCGTTTCCAACGAAATCCTCAAATCTAGCCAAATAGCCACTTGCAGATTCCACAAAAAGAGTGTTTCAAAACTGTTCTGTCTAAAGAAATGTTCAACTGTGTTAGTTGAGGACACACATCAGAAACTAGTTTCTGAGAATGCTTCTGTCTAGTTGTTATGGGAAGATATTTCCTTTTCCAACGTAGGCCTGAAAGCGATCCAAATGTCCACTTCCATATACTAAAAAAAGAGTGTTTCAAACCTGCTCTACCAAAGGGAATGTTCTACTCTGTGACTTGAATGCAAACATCCCAAAGAAGTTTCTGAGAATGCTTCTGTCTAGATTTTCTCTGAAGACAATCCCGTTTCCAACGAAATCCTCAAGGCTAGGCAAATATACTCTTGCAGATTCCAGAAAAAGAGTGTTTCAAAACTGCTCCTTCAAAACGGTGGTTCAATTCTCTTAGTTGAGTACACACATCTCAAATAAGTTTCTGAGAATGCTTCTGCCTAGTTGTTACGGGAAGATATTTCCCTTTCCAACATGGGCCTGAAAGCGCTCCAAATGTCCACTTCCAGATACTACAAAAAGAGTGTTTCAAACCTGCTCTACCAAAGGGAATGTTCTACTCTGTGACTTGAATGCAAACATCCCAAAGAAGTTTCTGAGAATGCTTCTGTCTAGATTTTACCTGAAGACAATCCCGTTTCCCACGAAATCCTCAAAGCTATGCAAATATCCTCTTGCAGATTCTACAAAAAGAGTGTTTCAAAACTGCTCTATGAAAAGAAAGGTTCAACTCTGTCAGTAGAGGGCACACATCACAAACAAGTTTCTGAGAATGCTTCTGCATAGTTGTTACGGGAAGATATTTCCCTTTCCAAAATAGGCCTGAAAGCGCTCCAAATGTCCACTTCCAGATACTACAAAAGGAGTGATTCCAACCTGCTCTATGATAGGGAATGTTCAACTCTGTGTCCTGAATACAAACATCACAAAGATGTTTCTCAGAACGCTGCAGTCTGCAATTTGTATGAATTCCCGCTTCCAACGAAATCCTCAAAACTAGCCAAATATCCACTTGCAGATTCCACAAAAAGACCATTTCAAAACTGCTCTATCAAAAGAAAGGTTCAACTTTGTTAGTTGAGTAGATACAGCATAAACAAGTTTCTGAGAATGCTTCTGTCCAGTTTTTATGGGAAGATATTTCCTTTTTCACCTTAGCCCTGAAATCGCTCCAAAAGTCCAGTTCCAGATACTACAAAAGGGGTGTTTCAAGACTGCTCTATGAAAGGGAGTGTTCAACTTTTGACTTGAATGCAAACATCAGAAAGCAGTTTCTCAGAACGCTGCTGTGTGCTTTTTATATGTATTCCCGCTTCCAGCGAAATCCCCAAAGCTAGCCAAATATCCACTTGCAGATTCCAGAAAAAGAGAGTTTCAAAACTGCTCCTTCAAAACGGTGGTTCAATTCTCTTAGTTGAGTACACACATCTCAAATAAGTTTCTGAGAATGCTTGTGTCTAGTTGTTATGGGAAGATATTTCCTTTTTCAACATAGGCCTGAAAGCGCTCCAAATGTCCACTTCCAGATACTACAAAAGGAGTGATTCCAACCTGCTCTATGATAGGGAATGTTCAACTCTGTGTCCTGAATACAAACATCACAAAGATATTTCTCAGAACGCTGCAGTCTGCAATTTGTATGAATTCCCGCTTCCAACGAAATCCTCAAAACTAGCCAAATATCCACTTGCAGATTCCACAAAAAGAGCGTTTCAAAACTTCTCTATGAAAAGAAAGGTTCTACACCTTTAGTTGAGGACACACATCACGAGTAAGTTTCTGAGAATGCTTCTGTCTAGTTTTTATGGGAAGATATTTCCTTTTTCACCTTAGGCCGGAAAGTGCTCCAAATGTCCACTTACACACACTACAAAAAGAGTGTTTCAAACCTGCTCTGTGAAAGGGAATGTTCAATTCTGTGACTTGAATGCAATCATCACAAAGAACTTTCTGAGACTGCTGCTGTCTGCTTTGTATATGTAATCCCGTTTCCAACGAAATCCTCAAATCTAGCTAAATATCCACTTGCAGATTCCAGAAAAAGAGTGTTTCAAAACTGCTCCTTCAAAACGGTGGTTCAATTCTCTTAGTTGAGTACACACATCTCAAATAAGTTTCTGAGAATGCTGCAGTCTGCAATTTGTATGAATTCCCGCTTCCAACGAAATCCTCAAACCTAGCCAAATATCCACTTGCAGATTCCACAAAAAGAGCATTTCAAAACTGCTCTATCAAAAGAAAGGTTCAACTTTGTTAGTTGAGTAGATACAGCATAAACAAGTTTCTGAGTAGATACAGCATAAACAAGTTTCTGAGAATGCTTCTGTCCAGTTTTTATGGGAAGATATTTCCTTTTTCACCTTAGCCCTGAAAGCGCTCCAAATGTCCAGTTCCAGATACTACAAAAGGGGTGTTTCAAGACTGCTCTATGAAAGTGAGTGTTCAACTTTTGACTTGAATGCAAACATCAGAAAGCAGATTCTCAGAACGCTGCTGTGTGCTCTTTATAGGTATTCCCGCTTCCAGCGAAATCCCCAAAGCTAGCCAAATATCCACTTGCAGATTCCAGAAAAAGAGTGTTTCAAAACTGCTCTTTTAAAACGGTGGTTCAATTCTCTTAGTTGAGTACACACATCTCAAATAAGTTTCTGAGAATGCTTGTGTCTACTTGTTATGGGAAGATATTTCCTTTTTCAACATAGGCCTGAAAGCGCTCGAAATGGCCACTTCCAGATACTACAAAAGGAGTGATTCCAACCTGCTCTATGATAGGGAATGTTCAACTCTGTGTCCTGAATACAAACATCACAAAGATGTTTCTCAGAACGCTGCAGTCTGCAATTTGTATGAATTCCCGCTTCCAACGAAATCCTCAAATCTAGCCAAATATCCACTTGTAGACTCCACAAAAAGAGCATTTCAAAACTGCTCTATCAAAAGAAAGGTTCAACTTTGTTAGCTGAGTAGATACAGCATAAACAAGTTTCTGAGAATGCTGCAGCGTTCNGAGAAACTGCTTTNNGATNTNNGNNNT
>NC_000018.10:16769859-16770167 GCF_000001405.40 Homo sapiens | reverse complement strand
CATNCATNCATCCATCCATCCATCCATCCCATCCATCCCATCCATCATCATATCTTTCTACCTACCTACCTATCTATATTTATCTATCTTTTCCTCCTCTCCATTTTTTTTACACTAATGGCAGCATACCATACACACAGTGAGCAATATATCTTGGAGATGGTGCAGTATGAACATTTAGAGTGACATCATCCTCTTATATTGTGGCATTCTGCTCTTTTCATCTAACATACTGCATTTAACCAGTTCCCTGTAGGTGGGCATTTAGGTNTTTCCCCCANNTTTTGCTATATTACAAACAATGCTGC
>NC_000018.10:16431252-16431756 GCF_000001405.40 Homo sapiens | reverse complement strand
GCTGTGTGCTTTTTATATGTATTCCCGCTTCCAGCGAAATCCCCAAGCTAGCCAAATATCCACTTGCAGATTCCAGAAAAAGAGTGTTTCAAAACTGCTCCTTCAAAACGGTGGTTCAATTCTCTTAGTTGAGTACACACATCTCAAATAAGTTTCTGAGAATGCTTCTGTCTATTTGTTATGGGAAGATATTTCCTTTTCCAACATAGGCCTGAAAGCGCTCCAAATGTCCACTTCCAGATACTAGAAAAGGAGTGATTCAAACCTGCTCTATGATAGGGAATGTTCAACTCTGTGTCCTGAATACAAACATCACAAAGATGTTTCTCAGAACGCTGCAGTCTGCAATTTGTATGAATTCCCGCTTCCAACGAAATCCTCCAAACTAGCCAAATATCCACTTGCAGATTCCACAAAAAGAGCGTTTCAAAACTTCTCTATGAAAAGAAAGGTTCTACTCCTTTAGTTGAGGACACACATCACGAGTAAGTTTCTGAGAATGCT